>NC_000023.11:35746050-35896407 GCF_000001405.40 Homo sapiens | reverse complement strand
ACTGAAAAAACAAACTTGGTATTACATATCTACAGGATATGCCAGCAAGGTGTAGCTTTTCTTAAGAGAAGGACAGGATACCTGAATTGCTAAGGCTTTGTTGCATTCTGATTGACAATTCAATCGCACATGAGTCCTGGCTGTGTGGCTGCTGTTCCTGCCTTCTCTGTTTATCTTTAAAACAAATCTTATTACAGGAAGGAAATTGAGCATGTGTCTTGCAACTTGAAAGAGGCTAACATATGTACAGAAAACTATGTTACAAAATAGAACAAAATTAATCTTTTAAAACACCAATGTTCTTGGGTTTGTTATTCATTTTGATAGTATATAGAAAATAAGAGCTCTACTCAGTTTTTAAATCATTTTGCTGATCCCTTCTTTCTCTTTTTATGGAGATTACTTCCTTATTTATACCAGGCTTTTAAATATAAGATTTATCATAATATATCGCAATTATTTGCTTTCACTACTTGATTATGGGTACCTGGAGAATAAAGACAGTGTCTTATCCAACTTTATGTAATAAACACCTCATTTAATGATCACACAAAAAACCAGTGCTCCATAATTGTTTATTGAATGAAGAAATAAATGTGCCATAACAATTTGGAAACAGTTCATATTACCTTTTTTTTTTTTTTTTTTTTGAGATAGAGTCTCACTCTGTCACCCAGGCTGGAGTGCAGTGGCGCGATCCCAGCTCACTCACTGCAACCTCTGCCTCCCGGGTTCAAGCGAGTCTTCTGCCTCAGCCTCCGAGTAGCTGGGACTACAGGTGTGCGCCACTACACTCGGCTAATTTTTTTATTTTTAGTAAAGACGGGGTTTCACCATATTGGCCAGGCTGATCTCAAACTCCTGACCTCGTGATCCGCCCACCTCGGCCTCCCAAAGTGCTGGGATCATATTACCTTCTAACATTTGTATTCATGTGTCCAAATTTAAAATCCCTCAACTTTTACAGAAGCATATTCAATATTGGTTTATCCATATTTATCATTAGGTTATGTTTGCTCTTTGATGTTTGTAAGATTTTCTTATAAATTTCTTATAAATTTTCTTATAAATTTCTTATAAATTTTCTTGGTTTCTTTGTAGGCTTTTGTGTTGTTTTTATTAATTTTTGATACTGTTTTGAATTAATCATCCATTATTTCAATTATAGACAAACAGAATATATAATGACTTAAATGTTGTATAATACTGACATTGTCTCTGTTTTAAATACGTCTTGTTAAAAAAAAAAAGTGGTACGATATTAAAGAAAATAAATAAAAATGTTTATCTGCCCATAATCCTACTCTCTAATATAACCATTTGAATTTCTTCATTTTACCTCAATCTTTATCCACCGTTCACTTTAAATAGTAGCTAATACCCTATATGCATTTTTGTGTGCATCTTTGTTTACCTAATATTAGTTTTAAAATATTTTCTCTGCAATAACGCTTTCAATCATTTCAGCTGATGAATAAGACCAATCAGTTTGCTATGCTAACATAACAGATATTCTATTGCATCTTATAATTTTTTATACATTTATTATTTTATTTTTATGTTTTCTTAATATAATTATGTGTTAGGCTTCAAAATAGTCCTCACTGATCCACACCTCCAGATATTCACACCCTTATGTAATCCCCTCCAATAAAAAATGGGGCAAACCTGCAACCTATGAAATACTATGAAAACGACAGTTTGTGACTTGAAAGGATATGCCATAAAAGATTTTGCAGCTTCCAATTTGTGCTCTTGAATCACTAACTGTGGGAGAAGCCAGCAGGTATATATTGAGGACATGCAAGCAGTCCCGTGGCTGCTCTCCTCATGAGGAGAGGAACTGTGGTCTTTGATCCACAAGCCAGCACTATCTTCCCAGCCATGTAAATGATCTACCTTGGAATCTGATCTTTCAGTCCTGAGACCTAATAGGAGACCCAAAGCCAGAAGCAACCATCCAAGGCCCTCTCCAATTTCGGACTCATAACAACTATGGTAAACAACAATTGATTGTTATTTTAAGCCATTATGCAGTAATACCTAGCTTATACGATTATTTCTATTTTCATTACAAATAATCTAAAAGGCAGCTTCTGTTAATACACAAAAATGGTTGCCATCAATATATTACTGTCAATTATGAAATAGATTTGCTACTTCATATGAATGCAAAATTATGTCAGAAAAAATATAATGAAGATAGCAAATAAATATCATAGGCATTATATATTATACATGAATATATCACTGTCAGCATAGTTAAATTTTTCTAAACATATATTAATATATACATTTTTACTAAAATGCATACATATTCCAATAATATTTTAAACAATTTTTCACGCAACAAATAGTGATCATCTTTGTCTTATACACATATATAAATCCTCATTTCAATGGTTCTATATTATCCAGTTTTATAGATACACCCTAATTTATTTTACCAATCCCTTCTTTGAATATTTAGGTCATCTCCAACTATTTAGTGTTATACCAGTGCTGCAGTCAGTACCTTTTCACTGTCATTTGTTTCATACTCGTCTGTGTGTTTTTATTATGACTAATTTTTTGGAGCTTGGGGGAAAAGCATATTCACAGACATTTATAATGGAAAGAATCATTTAAATTTATTCTTACGGAGGAGTTCAGGTAGGAGTCTAGCAGTATTTGTTCCCTAAATTTTTCCTGATAGACATTATTTATTGAATACTATTCTGTATCTACAGTGATATAAAATAACTCTTTTGTGATATGCTAAGTTAATTATGTGCTCTTGATCTATCAGTCCATTTAAATCCTGGTGTTTTTCTTTTTTCTTTTAAACTACAACAACTTTATACTACTCTTTACTATTTTTTACAGAAAGTTCTACCTCAAAGATATCAATTACATTGACTTCTCGACTCTTTTCATCCATTCAACTGTCTATACTCTTGAGTAATTTTTTTCTGTGTTAAGAAATAAAAAGTTTTGTAATGTTGAATTGGGATGACCTTAAATATATAATTTTCAGAAAACTGATACATTTAAGCCATTGAGTTTTTCCACTCAAGAAATGGCAAATTTTACCACATATTTATCTTTAATATGCACATATATTGTAAGTGGGAAATATTTTTCATTATTATTTTTAATTTGTTATTGCTCGTTAAAAGAAAGCTTAATTTTATTTATTTCCATTTCATCTGGCATCTGGTTCCCTCACTGAACTTCTCTGATTATTTCTAGTATATCATCAGTTATTTTTCAAGGTTTTCTAAGTAAACAGTTTCTCAATCTCATATAATGATATTTTACCAAATGTTTATCTTTATGTCAAGAATTTATGCATCTCCATCATCATCACCATCATTATCATTTCCTTTTTTATGACTGCATTACACTGTCAGAACATCCAGAATTATATTTAAGGTTTGTGGTGATGTCAGGCATGCTGACCTTATTCCTGTCTGTAAGGAAATACACATATTGTTTCACAATTACTGTCAGTCAAGGAAACACAGGGCAAACTCAAAGGAAGTAACTTATTGCAGATGAGTTAAGGCAATCTGTATTCCTACCTCCTCATCTACCATCCCACTCTCTACTCCACTATACTCAAACCACTCTTGCAAACGTCACCAAGAGAAAATCCAGTGGACACTTTTAAGTCTTTTCACTAATGGAACTTACTGCAGTATTTTACACCATTGGCCCTTTCTATCATTTGTAAATACCCTCCTACATGTGTTTCCCCAACATCCTCCTCTCCTATTTCCTTCTATTTTTCTCTGTCCTTCTAATGGCTCCTACTCCATTCACTCTTCAGAGGAAAGATTTCTTTTTTCTTCAGGAGATACTCTCAGGGTTTTCTTATCCACTGACAGGTTTCTGGAATTGATTCCATATAGTGATATTTTTGACCTCTGAACATGTTCAAGGGCACTACAGGTTGAAATAAAGTCTGCAGCCTGTGATGCATTTTCAAACCTGGCTTGTTAGCTCTTGCCCACAGCTTTCGCAATGAAATGCCTTAGAAAGTTTGACACTGGAGCTCGAGATTGTCAATTTTATGTGGATCCAACCAATTGTCTCCACTGCAAATTTCAGGATCCCATTCTTAGCCCTAAATTTCACGAGAAACTTGGCAAGCCTGAGAATTTAACTGTCATTGTAATTCAGCAACCCACATAATTAAATTTTGTGTTTGATTTTCAGCAACATCAGCCCTCTGAGTACAATAAGTAATAGCTCCTTTTAGGACTGTCATAGAAGGTCTTTGATTCGTGAACTATAACTGGAGCTGGGATTTAACATTTCTGAGCTTGTCATTTTCTCTTTGTTAGCACTCAAGTGAACTCCAAATAATCTATTCCATACCACAGTCATTTTAGTCATCATTACTGTCATAATAATCAAGTTTAGCAGCCACTTGGGCTCCTAAGGCACAAGTTTCAGTTAGCATTTTATCACAATCAACCACAAGTGATAGCTTGATTAATTTTGAGGCCACCACACCAACATCAATTTTCCCATTGGCAAGGAGATCAGCACAGCTCTCAAACCCAAAGGTATGACCAAACTAAAATCCTATTTTTGACAGAGAGTCTATCTCCTGGGATCACTACTGGTACCAATTGCATATCAATCTGAATCTGAGACAAACCATATTATAATCTGAACAGGGAGTGTTTAATATAAAGAATATTCACTATAATCATTAACTATAGCATAAAAAATTATCAACAATAATATAATTATATTATTGGCATCATGAAAGACCGGCTAGTAGGAAGAAAAGATGACTCTAAAGAATATAGAAATAGCAGATATAATGAGTAATCACTATGTCAGGGTTAAGATAGAGCACCCCAGGAAGACACCCCTCCCCTAGGGTTGAAATCCAGACCTTGTTGGAGAGACCACAGCCATGGTTCACTGAATAACAGAGACGTGTCTGGAATACTACACTCACAGAACTTTTTGGAAATCTTCCCTCTATGGTGAGGAGGTAAGTTGCCCATGGAGAGGTATTTCTCTTTTTTTTTTTTTTTTTGAGACGGAGTCTTGCTCTTGGTGCCCAGGCTGGAGTGCAGTGGCACGATCTCGGCTCACTGCAACCTCTGCCTCCTGGGTTCAAGCGATTCTCCTGCCTCAACCTCCCGAGTACCTGGGATTACAGGGATGTGCCACCATGCCCGGCTAATTTTTTGTATTTTTAGTAGAGACGAGGTTTCACCATGTTGGCCAGGATGGTCTCAATCTCCTGACCTCGTGATTCCCCCGCCTCGGCCTCCCAAAGTGCTGGGATTACAGGCGTGAGCCACCGCTCCCGGCGTGGAGAGGTATTTCATCAGAAACACTTTGCTACAAAAAGGCTTTCGGGAGGATGCCAGGGGAAGCTACTTACTGCTGGATACGGCTGGCACTGTACACTGCAAGAGCTAGGTACTGGAGAAACTGCCTGTGCTGCAGGAGCCTAATGTCGGAGAAAGCTAAGCATGCTTCAGGAACCCGCTGAGTCAGCGGAACAAGGAAGTACAACCCTTTCCTCCTGCAGTGTATCTTTGGCGCCCTCTATTGAGAATGATTCAATTTCAGTTGGCAAAGGAAAAATATTTAAAGAGCCCAGATTCAATTTCAGAGAGCATCCTGAAATTTTGCATTTGGAGCTGAGAGTCAATAAATTGATAACCAGCAGAAAAATATGTAACATAGAAAGAAAAACGAAAATATTTTCTTCCAGTGTTTCTTGTCTTTAAACATTGTTTTTTGCAGTGCTTTTTACGTTTAAACTTTTTTTAAAAGTTTTAAATTTGCAGACTGTCAGTTATGGGCTTTTTCTTGATGATTTATGGAAAGTTTCAATCTTTAAAAAGGATTTCCCCTACCTGAATTTTTTTTTTTTTTTTGAGACGGAATATCGCTCTTGTTGCCCAGGCTGGAGTGCAATGGCACTATCTCTGCTCGCTGCAACCTCTGCCTCCCGGGTTCAACCGATTCTCATGCCTCAGCCTCCCGAGTAGCAGGGATTACAAGCATGCGCCACCACGCCCGGATAATTTTGTATTTTTAGTAGAGACGGGCTTTCTCCATGTTGGTCAGGCTGGTCTCGAACTCCTGACCTCAGGTGATCCTCCCACCTCGGCCTCCCAAAGTGCTGGGATTACAGGTGTGAGCCACTGTGCCCGGCCTACCTAAAGATTTTAAAGCTATTCACCAAAATTCCTTCCTATGTATTTAAACTTAATTATAGAGATAATTGTTACATTGCCTATGTGTTAGATTTAATCCCTACGAGCTAAATTCCTGGACTTTCAATTTCCTCATCTGTAATAAGGGGAAGATAATAATACTTAATGGAGTTGCTTTGAGCATCAAAAACATTTATTGGAGTGACTGGCATATAGTATGGGCTTACTATAGCATTGATTAATAATGTTTTCTAGTAATAATTAACATTATAATAAACATTAGCAGGCCCGTGCCATGGCTTACACCTGTAATCCCAGCACTTTGGGAGCCCGAGGTGGGCAGATTGCTTGAGCCCAGGAGTTCAAGACCAGCCTGGTCAACATAGCGAAACCCCATCTCTACAAAAAATTAGCTGGGCATGGTGATGCGCACTTGTGGTCCCAGCTACTCTTGAGGCTGAGGTGGGAGGATTGCTGGAGCCCGGGAGGCAGGGGTTGCAGTGAACCGAAATCAGTCCTCTGCACTACAGCCTGGGTGACAGAGTAAGACCCTGTCTCAAAACAAAACAAAACAAACATTACTATTGAGTGCATAATATACATACTAGATTTTGCATCTTATATTTTTCACTCTATTTTATTATAAAAACATTTCCAGAATGTTTATTATGTCACATTTTGTTGCTTCAAAATTAATTTTTTACAAATATTACATTGTAAAGGTTAGGTAATACATTTATATTAATTAAATCTGATAAAAAGATAGCTAAGGCAATTTTATTTATTACACAGAAATATTTTGTAGTAATTTTTCACAATATAATTTTGCTGTTTTTAACATATCTTAAATCCATATAATAATATGTTACCTATAAATTATATACAATTCATGCCCCATCTTGTACAATCACAATGCTTAAATAACTTTTTTTAGTACACATTTGAACATGACCTATGCTCTGATGTAATTTTTATATTTTGTTTTGAAATATTTTATTAGCTATAACAGAAAATCTTGTATTAGATTACCCAGTGTATTGGGTTTTTGAGTATGTCAACTTGGCTTTGCTAAAGTCCTCAGCTATTGAAACACTAGTCTAGGTATTGTCATGAAAGTATTTTGTAGATGTGATTTAAGTCTATAATCTTTTGATTTCTTTTTTTGGCAGGGTCTCACTATGTTGCCCAGGCTGGTCTTGAACTCCTGGCCTCAAGTGATCCTCCCACCTCGGCCTCCTCAGCAGCTGGGATTACAGGTGTTTGCCACTGCACCAGGCTCATAATCAATAGATTTTAAGTAAAGTAAAGTACCCGAGATAATCAGGGTAAGGCTAAATCAATCGGTTACTAGGCATTAAAATCAGAGCTGAGGCTTCCCTACACAAGAATAAATTCTGTGTATAGCAGTAGTTCTTATTGTAGCATTCTAGCCTGCCCTTCCTGATGGCCAGCACTATAAATTTCAGACTTGCCTAAACAACCTCCACAATCATGTAAGCCAATTCCTGGCAATAAATTTTTAAATATATATCTCCTTTTGATCCTGTTCAAACCTTGAGTGTTATGCTCAGCAAAAGATAGAGTATTTTACTTCTTTAAAATTTTTTCCTTCTCAAAAGAAAGGTCAGCGGTGATCTGGCAAATAGAGACGTTGGCACTTACGGTGATAGGTAAGTAAGTAAACCTGAGCTAAAGAGTATTTAAATAACTGAGAAACATAAAGCACAATAAGCACATTTAGAAATTTAATTAGAAACTTAATGTTTCCTTCATAGAAGTAATATAAGTATCATGGTAGAATATTGGTTAAAAAAAAAGAGGAATAATCTTGCCATTCTAACACAACTGTTAACAGCTTTCCCTATATTCACGTGTGTGAGCTGTTATCATAAAGCAAATATAAATTTGTTTGTAAAAAAAATGTTTGGACTTTAGTTCTTAAAAAGATAGATATGGCTGGGCGCGGTGGCTCATGACTGTAATCCCAGCACTTTGGAAGGCTGAGGCGGGTGGATTACTGGAGGTCAGGAGTTCAAGACCAGCCTGGCCAACATGGTGAAACCCCGTCTCTACTAAAAATACAAAAATTAGCCGGGCTTGGTGGCATGCACCTGTAATCCCAGCTACTCAGGAGGCTGAGGCAGGAGAATCGCTTGAACCCGGGAGGCGGAGGTTGCAGTGAGCTGAGATCGTGCCACTGCACTCTAGCCTGGGCAACAAGAGTAAAACTCCATCTCAAAAAATAAATAAATAAATACAGATTTCTCTTTGTTCCTCACATTAAACAGAGCTAAAACTCCTATACATGACACATAAAGCAACCATAGAAATACCCTCCAAAAAGTTGGAAAGGATGAGGAATTTGGCTAAAGATCTTGGCATTTGATGAACGGCAAGGCAGTAAGTTTTCTGGGTTTTGGTTTTTTTCTTACTTCCTATGTATCCCAGACAAGATGCTGGAAAAACTCACAATCTAGAAAAGGCAGCAAGTATAGAAAAAAAAAAAGCTCCCTCTCGAGCCTAAGGACCAGAAGGGGGACAAAAAAGGAGAGCAAAAATCATTTTTACGATAATCACCCTTCTTCAGCTGAAGACCATGATGAAAAACACTGACCTGTCCCTCTCTGCTGTCCACACAGTGTCTTTGGAGGCTGAGGAGGAAGTATGAATTTTCATCCCCTCCCCAACGGCAGTGAAGCCGTGCCCCCTCCTCACTGACAAAAACTGAGTGGGAAACCTAGAATTTTATCCATACAGAGCAGTAATGAGGCAGTGACACTTCACTTGCTGCTGCTGATACAGTGTCAGCAGAGATTGAGTGGGGAGCTCAGACATCTACTCCCTGCATAGCAGTAACGAGGAGGTGCCTCTCCCTCTTCCCACTGCTGGTTTGGAGTCAACAGAGGTTGACTGGAGGACATGGACTCCCATTCCTTCCCAGTACAAATGAAGCGGTGCTCCTGCCCCTCCACACTTGAGAGGTGAAAAGGAATTACAGAGAGGGTAGAGATGAGAAAAAGGGACTCTTAAAACAAATATAAAGTCCTGTGCAAACTCCTGAGTAAGTCTCATGTGAAACTGACCATATCAAAATGTCAGAAGGTTTAAGAACTAAAACCTTAAACCTTCAGAATTTTCCAAGAATCAGATTGCTCTCCGGGTACTGCACAAAAGAAACAGACAAGAATAACACTGAAATAGTTCTGAAATTTGAAGTTGTCATTTAATCACAGCTCACAAAAGTAGGCTAAGATCTGTTTGCTAAGTCAAAACTGAATAGCTGCCTCCTAAAATAGATTATTTCCGTAGGAATAAGAGTCTTAAAACATAATATGCAAAATGTAGAGATACTAAAAACCAGAAAAATCTCAACTTGAATGAGAAAAGAAAATCAACAAGCATCAACATGAGTCTGAAACAGAGGTTGTAATTATCTAGCAAGGATTTTAAAGCAACTAGTATAAAAACAACCAAGGAGAAATTACAAACACTCTTGAAACAAATGGAAATAATAGAACATCTTACCAAAAATTTTAAAAAAGAAAAATATGTTTAAAAAGAAAATTTTAAATACAAAATATATAACCATGAAACTAAAAAAATGTACAGGAAGCATTCAATAGCAGATTAGAGATAGCAAATGAAGGAATCAGTGAATTTGAAGATAGTTAAAAAGAAAACACCCACTCTGAATAATAGAGAAAATATAGGCTAAAAATAAATAAAATAACAGAGCCTTAGAGACCTGTGGGTCAACAGCAGAATACCTGAATTTTGTATCATTGGAGTCCAAGAAGGTAAGGGAAAAGAATAATATAGGCCTGAGAAATAATTAAAGAAAGAAAGAAGCTTTTCCAATTTTGGCAACCAGGTGAAAACCTATAAAATAATGCAACTCAGCAAATTCCAAATAGGATAAATTTCAAACAAATCAACACCAAAACACATTGTCTTAACATTTCTGGCAACTGAAGATAAACAAAATGTTCTATAACAGATAGAGAGAAATGGCACATAACTTATAGAGGAACAAAATACATTGAATGATGGCATATTTCTATTCAGAAGCCATGCAGTCCAGAAGGAAGTAGCACAACATTTTTCAAGTGCAAAAAATAATTGTGAATGCCGAATTCTGTATGCAATAAAAATATATTTAGGACAAAAGGTGAAATAAAGACATCCTCAGGTGGATGTAAACTAAGACTTTGTCAGCAGCAGACCATCCCTAAAAGAGTGGATAAAGTAAGATCTTCAAACAGACAAGAAATAACAAAAGGAAACAGTGAATATTAAAAAGTAATAGTGAACAACAGGAAAGATAAAAATAGGGGCAAATATAACTGATTATTCTCCTTTTGAGTGTGTAAAATTCTATTTGATTGTTGAAGCAAAAAGTATAACATTGTCAGATGGGGAAATGGTAGAGAGGCTGAAATAGATATCTACATCTATATAGCTATGTCTGTCCATTGATCCATATATATATATATATATATATATATATATATATATATATACACACACATACATATATGTGTGTGTATATGTATGTGTGTAAATATGCCAATGTATATACACACATACATATACATGCATACATACACACACATATACACATACATACACACATACATACACACATATATACATACATATACACACACATATACATACATACATATATGCCAATAAAATTGTCTGTATGCAAAACATTACAGAAATCATAGATTAAACAAAATAGAATTCTAAAAAAAAACCCCACCTAACCCACAGGAAGGTTAGAAAGGGGGGAAAGGGAGATGATTAATAGAGGAAACGAATAATAAAGTGGCAGATTTAGTTCTAACATATATATTATTTATATTACATGTAAATTATCTCAATATGCCAATTTAAAAAAAGAGTAGGTTTTTAAAACTCCCTACAAATATAATATGAGAAGGTGGTAATTAAAAGGATAAAATAAGTTATACCATGCAAGCACTCATCCAAAAAAAATCAAAAAAACTATTGCACACATGAATAAATAGCTAGATATAGGTATATAGATTTTATGTATATACAAGTATATATATAGAGAGAGTTAGATATATATATAAATGTATTCACACATGTATATTTATACATATTTATATATACATGTGTTTGGGATATATATAGGCAAATATATATAAATATATGTATTATCTCATAAAAAGTAGTCTTCATTGCCATGAAAATTACCAGTGACAAATTAAGAACAAAGGGCATTATGTAATGGTAAAAAGGCAAATATATCTAGAAAACTTAGCAATCCTAAATGTATATACTAAACAACAGATCTAGAAAAATACAAGAAGCAATTTTGCTAGAACTGAAAGGAGAGGCAAATCAGCAATTAGACTTGGTGACTTCAACGTACCCATCTGAGGAACTGACAGAACTACTAGACAGTTATTCAGAAAAATACATAGAATAGCTGAACAACATAATCCATCGACATGTCTAATTGACACTTAGAACATTCTACCAACAATAGTAGAATTCTGGAGAAAATTTTGCAAACCATACATCAAAAAATTGTATGCAGATTACATAAAGAACTTTCAAAACTTAACAGTAAAAAACTCAATTAGAAAATCAGAAAAAGACATAAATAGAGATTCAGTGAAGAATATATACAGATGGCTAATAAGCACATGAAAAGTTGGACACCATTAGCCATTACAAATAAAATACCACACTGACCTATCACTAGACTCCTATTGGAATAGCTATAGTTAAAAATAGTGGCAACACCAAATGCTGGCAAGAATGCAAAGAAATTGGGTCACTCATGGATTGCTGGTGTGAATATAAAGTAATACGTCATTCTGGAAAACAATTTAGAACTTTCTTATGACATTAAATTTGCTATTACTTATATGACATGGTAATGATACTTTTGGGCATTCATCTGCACAAAAACCTATGCATGTACACACATAAAACCTGCACTGAAGTGTTTATAGCAGCATTATTTGTAATAGTCAAAAACAGGAAAAGCCCAGATATCTTTTGATGAGTGAGTGGTTAAAGTTGTTGTAGGCCAGGCATGGTAACTCACATCTGTAATCCTAGCACTTTGGGAGGCCATGGTGAGAGGGTTGCTTGAGGCCAGGAGTTCAAGACCAGCCTGGGCAACATAGCAAGACCCCGTCTCTAAATAAAAAACAAATAAATAAAAGTATTGTACATACATACCATGGAATATTACTCAGCAATAAAAATGAACAAATTACTGATACACAACTTGACTGGGTCCCAAGAACATTATTATGCTGAGTAAATAAAGTCAATCTCAAAATGTTACATACTATGTGATTATATTTATATAACATTCTTGAAATCACAAAATTTTACAAAAGAAGACCTGATTAATGGTTTCCAGTGTTTAGGGACATAGGGAAGGATGCAGCTCTAATGGGGTAGCACAAAGGAATTTCTTGGTGGTGATGGAGTTATTCTTCTATGTCTTGGTTGCTGTGGTGGTTATGTGAATCCATAAATTTGAAAAAAATACATAGAACTACACACACACACACACCCCCCACAAATCAGTGCATGTAAAAATGGATTAATTCTAAATAAATTTATAGTGTAATTAATCATATTGCACCAATGTTAATTTCCTGATTTTGATACTATAGCCTAACTACGTAGGATATTACCATTATAGGGTGCTGGAAGAAGCATACAAGAACCTCTGTATTATTTTTGGAACTTTTTATGCATCTATCATTATTTCAAAATAAATATTGAAAAACTAAAAGCATACCAAATATTCATATATTCACATCATAGTAGGTCCCACTTGAGCATCATTGGATTTTCAAAACTAAACACTAGCAATTTGAATTTTATCTCTTTTAAGGTGCTCTAGCAAATACAAAAATGACAGAAATACTGGAAATAACTCAACAATGCAATGAGAATGTTTTAAGTATGAACAATTTAAACATACTACATGTTTTTAGCTTTCAGAAATAAGGCATCATGGTAGCTTTATCCCTGAATACTTTTGGAATCTATTATGAACCCAATTTGTTAGATTTTAAATACATAATTTTGTCAGATAATAAATACGGAATAAAAATAATTCATGATTATATCGAAAAACAAATCATCCATGGCCTTATGTGTAAATATCTATGTATATTTTGGCTTTTTAGTAATGTTTATAATTCAATTCTGTTGCAAAAAAAAAAAACAGAAAGTGCAATTCAAACCTCAAATTTGCAGATGGTAGAAACCTGTGCAGGCTACCTATTATAATAGATGAATGAGAGAGAATCAAAGTTAAAACCTTGACAGGCTGGAATAATATACTGAAACTAACAAGCCAAAATTTAATTGAAAAATTAATACAGAAAACAGAGACAGAATTCTGGCAGGATACTATTTGCCCCTGTATGTTACAGCACAAGTCTGGTGATCAGCCTGCCAGGGTTTAAATGCTGGTACCACCACTAACTGTGAATTAACACTTGGCAATGACAGTTACCTCACTGTGCCTCAATTTCCTTATCTGGTAAGCATAGATAATGATGATGATAGTAGTAATGGTGATGGTGGTGGTGATGATGATGATGATGATGATGATTAATGCTTACATCAGAGGATGACTGCGAAGTTTAAAAAATATTTAGAAAAAGTACCTAGAATAGTCTCTGGCACCCAGTAAGTTCTCAATAAATGTTCTTGTTAAATTAGTTGCTGTTGTTACTTGAAAAACTTGCATGCAAATAAAGCCTTTAAAGTCACCTAAAGATTAAGTAGAGAAAATTGAATAATCCATGAAGCGTGGGGCATCACCATCTCCATTTGAGCCAACCTTCTGATGTGACTTGAGAAGTGTAATAACTGCAGTTTAGCGCGTGATCTTTGGAGCAGGCCTGGCCCAGAATCAAATCCTGCCTGTGACATTTACCAGCTCTCTGACTTTAGGAAAATTACTAGACCTCTCTAAGCCTTGTTTCTTCTCCTATAATAGAGAGTAATAGTAGTGACTGCATCATAGAGTTGTTTTGAGAATTCCAAAAGACTGCACAGACTTGGAACAGAGCGATAGCTCAGCAATAATATCTTCTTTTATTACTATTATGTGACTGCTGTAAAAGCTGTCCTTTATTTCTAGGATATAATCCAAGACTTGAATGTCACAATATTCTGGGGAGCTTTTTAAATTTTGTAATCAAGGTAATAAATATTTCCTTTAGCTTAATGCTAATCTCTTAGCTACACCAATGCAATATTTTTGGAATGCCAAATCCTGTCTTCTCTTCTTTCATTAACTTTTCTGGTTTCATTCCTTATGTCTATCCCTAATTTTATCTCCTATTTTCAGTTTTTGACAGATTTGGCCTGAATTATGGCAAGTGCCTTCTAAATTTTTTTCCAGTTTCCAAAGATAGTGAATCTTACGAATAGGGTGGATTAGAGGTTAAGCTGGAGTCAGTTCTAAGAATTATAATTTTTCAGTGGAGAAGGTTGACTCACATCAGATTATATAAGCAGATAACTACTTCCATTCTTCTCATCTCTGTCATATTCTGTACCCATAGCATCCTTGAGCAACATGATATGTTTATATAGTAAGCCATTGATGGAAATGTAGAAAACACGTTTCCCCACCTGCTGCTGGACCAAGCTTTCAAAAACAATGCTTTAAATTCTGTCTTTATAGGTTAATAATAGTGAATTTATTAAAAACTCACTATTTATCAGACATACATTATCTCATTGTATTCTAGGATAAAAATAGCTCTTGTGCTCATTTTGATTTTGAGGAAACTGTGACGTGGAGATATAATGCCACTAGAAGAGCAAAAGAAAGCTGAGATTAAATGTAAGGTGTGTCAGCACTGAAAGCCCAGAAAAACAGCTACTTTCTGTGTGTATCTAATGGAGCATGTATGGTGTTGAGTTTCATGTAGATCACCATAAATGTACAAGATACAGTCCTTGTCCTTGCTCTCCACTTGCCTTTAAAGAACTGAGTGTATAAGTAAAATACACTTCAAACACTCAGAATATTTAGTTGCTACTGTGCATGATATTTTCTTAAAACTGTAGCAGAAGTACAGAGAAGAAAGAGCACGATTTATCAGAGATGGTCTACTGAAAAAGGCAGAGTTTAAAGTTTGGACACGATGTGGAAGATGGAGGAAACAGGTTAGGCAAAAGTTTTTAAGCAGTCCTAACAGTGGAATAGATAGAAGTAACTTGGCAAAGGGCTTGGTGGTCATGAAGATTAGAAATTGGGCAATGGAAAATAAATGACCTTAGAAATTGTTGAGCCATTTAATTGCCATAACTTTTTCATAGGCAGCAGGAAGCCATTTTAAGTTCTTGAGCAAGGAACTGAAAGATTTATAGTACATTTTCAAAAAATTAGTCTGGTAGTGAAGTGTTGAAGAAATAGGTCAGCAGGGAACACGACAGCATGGGAAGTTGTTATAATAAAATATGTTGGTTACCATAGTGATGAGTAGGCAAGAAAAAAATCCTACAGTCAGGATCCATTTATCTGTTTGGCCCCCCCGTTTTTCACCAATCTCAGTGCTATTGCTACAGATTAACATCCTGGACATTATTTAACATATAATTGTAACTCATTTTAGGATTTTGAGAAATTGATCGTTATCATTTATGTTACAAACTGCAGCAATCTTTTCCCACTAAGATATTGTTTTAAAAGAATGGAAACTAGAGGTATTTCTGTGCATCTGTGCGCTTCAGATGAATCAAAATTGCTCCAGTTGTTTGTTTTAGAAAATAGAATCAAAGTCTTGGACGAGAACGGTTTCCTACTTAACAACTTTCGACAGTACTGTTTTGCTTTTTAAATTAAAATGTACTTTTCTAGTCCTACTACTTGATTTTCCTTAAATCTGATTCACCCACAGCCTCTTTATACGGTCTCCCACTTACGTTCAAACCATGATTCACAGATATTATGAAAATACTTTTGCCTTCTTACCCCTAGGTTACAAGAGCTTGAGGGTAAATATAGGGTCATAAAAAGCACAGAAAACAGCTTGTTTACTTTCTCTTTTCCTCTAGTAATTGAGGAATGTGAATCTCTAACTGACTTAAAATACCTTCCAATTACACCTGTTCTTTGGGCTATCCCCATAGCATCTGCTGTTTTCTTCCAGCCTGAATTGGCAACTAATTACACTCCTGTTCTGTCATTTTATCCTTCCATAATCTGGCTGTGATATGGACTTCCTGTGCCATGCCGTGGTCAAGGTCTTGGAGTTCACTTCTATTCCCTCTGGCTTGCAGATGCAACCCTTGCCATTAATATTACCCTGAATGGGAGCTGATATACTTTGTCCCCACTCTGACTGGCCCTGTTATACTGGCTGTAGAGCATGGCAGCCTTATACTCTCAATATCTTTAGAGTTTGGGTGAGGTTATTATTTTTTTTTAAATTTATACTTCCCCTTCATTGTTACTTTGGACTGCCACAGGGATCAGAAGACTGGGGATGGGTGGTATATGTGTTATTCGCATTGAGTTCTATCCAAATCTCCAACCCCTTCCGAATATAAGCCATTCTTCTTGAATTCAATTCATGTGGCTAGATTCTCACCCTTCTTGTATAATCTTGTTCTGAGAAGCTTCTTAGTTCTCATGTAAATAGCCTCAATGTTAGGAAAATCTGACACCCAGGGTGCACACAGCTTGGGAAATTATCAAGTTGACAGCCACCACTACATACAGATATGTCATTTTTTCTTGTAATAAACTTGAGAGAGTGAGAGCATTGACAAGTAGTTACTTTAAGCAGGCTGCAACAAAGTAACAGCAGGAAAAAGTTGGAAAATAACATGTAGGAAATTTTTGTTGTTGTTGTTTAGAAAGTCTATACTGATGTTCGTCTTTTATTTAAAGTGTCTAGCTCAGTCATTTAATACTTGATAGCCCATACCTGAATAAGAATGTTGAGACTGGGTGCGGTGGCTCACGCCTGTAATCCCAGCACTTTGGGAGGCCAAGGCCGGAAGATCACCTGAGGTCGGGAGTTCGAGACCAGCCTGACCAACATGGAGAAACCCCGTCTCTACTAAAAATACAAAATTAGCCAAGCGTGGTGGCTCATGCCTGTAACCGTAGCTACTCGGGAGACTGAGGCAGGAGAATCGCTTGAACCTGGGAGACAGAGGTTGCAGTGAGCCAAGACTGCACCATTGAACTCCAGTCTGGGCAACGAGAGCGAAACTCAGTCTAAAAAAATAATAATAATAATGTTGCATGCCATTTTTCATACTAATTTTTCTATTTAAAGGAGGGTTATAATAACTTATTTGGTATT
Source organism: Homo sapiens (assembly GCF_000001405.40). Classification (NCBI taxonomy): domain Eukaryota; kingdom Metazoa; phylum Chordata; class Mammalia; order Primates; family Hominidae; genus Homo; species Homo sapiens. The sequence continues at coordinate 35,878,886 of NC_000023.11, read as the reverse complement.
CTTCACAACTAGGCTTATTTATAAGGTGACATTAGGTTCCCTATTTCTTGCATACACTCTTTGAGCACACCCAGATCCCCATTACAGGGCTTTTCCATGCATGCCTCAGTTGTGGATGTTGGCTCCTGACAGGTTATGCCTGTCCCCTTCTCCAGAGGATCACCCCTGACTAAAGGAAGATGCCCTATGCAGAGATACCTGTGGAGGTTACCCTGTCATCATTACAACCTCAAGATCCCTGCATCACACTATACACAAAAATCCACTTTTGAAGGATTAAGTAGTAGGGAAGAATTTCTCAAACCTGCCATTAGAAGGTGCTAAATATAAAATAATGAATTGATAAGAAGTAATCAGAACAAAAAGATCAAACAATTCTGTAGAAAAGTTGGCAAAACCATGAACAGATATTTAACAACAGGAATATTGATGTAAATAAATAAACAAAAATATAACTAATTTTTTTTGTAAACTTAGAAAAGAAGATTAAGACTACAGTGATATATTATTTTACTTACTTGCCTTAGGCAAAAGTTAACCCCAATAATACCAAATGTTGGTGACTATTTGCCATATTCTTGGTGGATACAACCACACCAGGTAGTATTATGCAAGTGTAATGTTTGTGAATCCTACAGACCAGCATTTCCACTTCTAAGTATATCTGAAGAAAACTCTCCTACATGTGCAAAACAAGGAACGTTCCATTTTATTTCATAGTAGCATTATTCAAAATAGCCAATCTGGAAGCACACAAGCTTCCTTTGACAAGTGAAGGGATATTAAGGATATTTATGTACATTCAGATATTATATATCTGTGAAAGTTAATGAACCTCAGCTAAAGTAACAGTGATGTCATGAATCATAGCAACATAATATTCAGTTTAAAAAAATGAGTCACAGAAGACCACATATATTATGGTATGGTATGATAACATTTTACAAAACAACAAAAGGTACAAGGTCAAGCATATTTATAATTAGAAATATATGCCTAAATAAAGATACAAAAATAAAGAAAAGACATGATTACACAAAAATCCAGAATGTTGATGTTCAGGGGTATAAGAGAATAAGATTGAGCAAGAGCACCAAGGGAAAAATGCAGAAGTACTAGGAATATTATTTAATTCACTTGAATAGTGGGATTCATGGGTATTCATTTTATTACTATGACTTTTAGCTTACTTATAAATTATAAGTTACATGTATTCTTTTGTTTAAATGCATGTTTAAGCAATAAAACTTTTAAAATCATGACCGATAGAGGAAAAACCAATGAAATGTATAACCGAAGTTCAAATTTTGAGGTTTTAAAATTGACTTTCTGTTGCCATGTGTATACAATTATCATATTAAAAGTAAAGAGTAGTTAGCTGCCAAATTAGTCATATATATTTTAAGGATTTCTAAATGTACCAGTATGAACTGCTTATAAGCATTCTTTTCCTTTTTTTTTTTTTTTTTTATTGAGACACAAAAAAAATACAAAAATTAGCCAGGCATGGTGGTTCACACCTGCAGTCCCAGCTGCTCAGGAGGCTGATGTAGGAGGTTTGCTTGAACCCAGGATGTTGAGGCTGCAGTGAGCAGTGATCATGTCACTGCACTATAGCATGGGCAACAGAACAAGGCCCTGTCTCTAAAAAAAAAAAAAAAAAAAGATTTAATCAAATTTTCTCATTACATATACAATAAAATTAACGGCATAAATGAGTTGTCCAATGATAGCTAAATAGCAGCAGACTTCAACTCAAAACCAATTTCTCAATTACTTATCCATGATTTTGAAAAGAATCACATTGGTTTAACTAATCCCAATGGAGACTTTTCTTAATTGTTAACTAATTAGATGAATATTTCTGATTCTTATTAAACTTATAGAAGGGAAATCATATCATTGTGCTTTTTTCTATTTTTCTGGTATTTACTATACTTCGTTTTTTAACTTTCAATTTCAGGGGTACATGTGCAGGTTTGTTATACAGGTAATTTGCATGTCATGGGAGTTTGGTGTACAGACGATTGATCTTTTGTATGGTTTTTCACATCTCAAATTCACTCACTTCAGCTCTGATATTGATTATTTTTTGTCATCTGCTGACTGAGAAATCGTATTTTATAGAAATATGATTAAATAATTTGATAACTTATTTTTTAGTAGACAATATTAAAATAAAAATTTTAAATATAATATATATGAACATTTATTTTGCCCTAAACCAATTATAAAGTGGTAATTAGATTTAAATCTGAATAGGACATTTGAAAATTTTAAAATGGGAAACATTTTTGAATGGCTAAACAAAGTAAAAGTATATAATACAACATTAGGTAAACATTAATTGGCAGTTTTGACAAGCAGTTACTAAGAAAATTACCAATATATAGAAGTTCAGGCAAGTGCACATATAGCACACAATTAAAAACCATTATATGTGGGTATGCATGAGAAAAAGACTGTAAATTGTGGTTATTTTTACCTTTCCAAAACAGTTTACTGAGTATTCATTGTTTTTATGATAATGCCCCCTAAAATCCAAATAATATATCAAAATAAAATGCATTATATCATGAAGGGGAGTTTTAGAACAAGTCTCACATATGTCAAAATTTTTTGAAGAAATGAACTTTTATGTTGACTGTGATCAAGTATGAAATTTCCTACAAAAATAACAATTTTGATGAAAATCTTTTCTATGCTTTGGTTTCTAATTCCAGTGTGATCTAATCTCCTACCAAAAATATAACACGAAATATAAAATAAGTGAAGAAGGAAATGGTTTTTCTGAATACTAATGTGGACTAAGTGCCTTCTGAGATGAAGAGTACAACTGCCTTTAAGAGGGGCATGAATAGACTTCACTGAGCCAATGTGTTGAGGTCTGGGAAGCAAATAGGATGATGAGGAGAACTGGAAATATTCTCTTGGAGGAGTATGATTGTATTCAAAAGTTTTCTTTTATTTTTGTTGAGTGTTTCTCTTTAGCCTTAAAATTTTCTCTTACCTGAAATTCCTTACTTTTCTTTTAATTACCTCAAATTCCATTAAACTGTTTCAACCCTCAGTAGGTTTAGGATAAAGTAGAACCATTGGAAACAATTTAGAAACTTTGTAAATTATAGATGAGCAATGAAAGGCTTTTCCATGCACTTAAGTAAATAAGGAACCAAAGTCATGAGTTCCTTGGAATCTTAATAGTGGCAGGTCCTCTTACTGGTGTCTTGTTAACTGCTTATCTAGTTTCTCACAATGAATATAATCAGATCCTCCTTTTCTTCTCACCTCTCCAAAGTTGATCTTACTTTTCTTGTCTTTAGGTATTTCACCTCTGATCTCATTGAGACAAATGACATCTTTCAGCAAGAAATTTCTCAGAAGTTTCCTTTTTATCACAGAATTGTTATGAAATAAATTAAATTCATTTATTGTTTTTAATCTATTAGTTCATATTTATTGTAGACAATCCATATGTGTACTCTGTCCCAGATTTAGGGTAAGCAAGGGGCCATTTGCTGATGAAGGTCAGCGTAGTAGGAAAGAAAAATTTTTCAACAAATGCAATTTGGGGGCTTGATTTTTCAGGGCAGTTTTAGGTTCACAGCAAAATCAACCAAAAGACACGGGTGTTTCTGTGCCCCCACACTTGTACAGCTTTCCTCACTATCAACATCCCCTACTATCAATATCCCACACCCGAGCAGTACACTCGTTACAATTGATGAGCTTAGATTGACATGTCATTATCACTCAAAGTCCATAATTTACATTACAGTACCCTCTTGGTTCTTGTACATTCTATGGGTTTGGACTAATGAATAATGATGTGTATGTATCATTCTAGTATAATACAGAGTATTTTCACTGCTCTGAAAATCATCTGCTCTCTGTATATCTCTTCCTCCCCACTAACCTCTGGCAACCATTGATATTTTAACTGTCTCCATAGTTTTATCTTGTCCAGAATGTCATATAGCTGGAATCATACAGTATGTAGTCTTCTTAGATTGACTTCTTTCACTTAGTAATATACATGTAAGTTTCTTTTATGTCTTTTCATGATTTTATAGCTTATTTCTTTTTAGCACTATATAATATTCTATTGTCTGGATCTACGATGGTTTATCGTTCACCTACCACAACCTACCTTGGCTGCTTCTGTGTTTTAGCAACTATGAATAAGGCTGCTATAAATATCTGTATGGATGTTTTTGTATGAACATAGTTTTCAATTCCTTTATGTAAATACAAGAAGCACACTCCTCAATTCTATGGTAAAATTATGTCTAATAAGTTCTCTTTATATACTCTATTTGGTGCCAATAGAGGTAGAAAGAAAAAGCAACCCAAATAGAGCAAGTAATGATGTCCTCAGTGTGGAGATAGACTTTGGGATAGTAAAGTCACAAAGGACAAACTACACCTACTAGTGTTTGCTTTAAGTTGCAGCCTTTATTTGCATCTGGTTTGTCTGAGTCGAAGACTGTGGGATCACTAAAAAAATAAAGCATTCTTTCTTTCATGTTTTTTTCTATTACTTATGTAAGTATTACAGTACCTAAATATATGAAGCAAATGTTTACAAAATTGAATAAAGAGACAACTCTACCATAATAGTGGGAGATTTCAATACCCTACTTTAAACAAAAAATAGAAAAACCAGAAAGATCAATAAGAGAATATAGGACCTGAACAAGACTACAGAACAATTAGACTAAACAAACATATAGCGAACACTCCACCCAAGAACAGCAGAATATACATTTTCTCAAGTACACATGGAACATTCTTCAGGATAGGCCACATGCTAGGGCATAAAACAAGTCTTAATACATTTAAAGCCGGATGTGGTGGTTCACACCTGTAATCCCAGCACTTTGGGAGGCTAAGGTAGACAGATCACCAGAGGTCAGGAGTTCAAGAACAGCCTGGCCAACATGGCGAAACCCCATTTCTACTAAAAATACAAAAATTAGCGGGGCTTGGTGGCGGGCACCTGTAATCCCAGCTACTTGGGAGGCTGAGGCAGGAGAATTGCTTGAACCTGGGAGGCAGAGGTTGCACTGAGCCGAGATTGTGCCGTTGCACTCCAGCCTGGGCGACAGAGCAAGACTCTGTCTCAAAGAAAAAAAAAATGCATATAAAAAGATTGAAGTCATACAAAGTATATTTTCTTCTTCAAATGGAATAAAGCTAGAATCAGCAACAGAAGAAAAACAAAAAAATTCACAAATATGCGGAAATTGAACAACACACTCTTAAAGAGCCAATGGTTAAAGCTCATAAAAAACAATGATTCAAATAAGTCAAAAGGAGAATTAGAAAATATTTTGAATCAGATGAAAATGAAATCACAAATCCCAAAACTCATGGGATTCAGTGAGACCAGTGCTAAGAGGAAAACTTAAAACTGGAAGCACTTATATTAAAAAAGAAGAAATATCTCAAGGTAACAACCTAATTTTAGACTTTAAGGAAATAGAAATAATAATAAATTAAACCAAAAGTTAGCAGAAGGAAGGAAATATTAAAGATTAGAGCAGAAATAAATCCAATAGAAAATAGAAAAACAACAGAGAAAATCAAGAAAACAAAGAGTTGGTTCTCGAAAAAGATCAAACAAAATGACAAATCTTCAGCTAAACTAAGACAAAAAGAGAGATTACGCAAACAACTTAAGTATGCAATCAAAGAAGAGGCATTACTGTCTGTATTAGTTTGTTCCTGCATTGCTCTAAAGAAATACCAGAGACTGGAAAATTTATAAATAAAAGAGATTTAATTGGCTCACAGTTCTGAAGACTGTACAGGAAGCATGATGCTGACACATGCTCAGCTTCTGAAGAGGCCTCAGGAAACTTACAATCATTGCAGAAGTCAAAGGGAGAGCAGGCATGACACATAGCCACAGTATGATTAAGAGAACAAGGGGGAATGTGCTACACACTTTTAAACGACCAGATCTCACAAGAACTTACTCAGTATCACAAGGACAGCACCAAAGAGCATGGTACTAAACCATTAATGAGAAACTGCCCCCATGATCTAAGCACCTCCCACCAGTCCCCACCTCCAGCATTGGGAATTACGTTTCAGTATGAGATTTGGGCAGGGACACATATTCAAACTATACTACCACCTATTTTAAAGGGAAATTAAAAGAATTTTATAAGAGCACTATGAACAATTCTTTGCCAATGTATTAAATAAGCAAAATGTAATACACAAATTCTCGAAGAAAAACACAGCCCACCAGGATTGAATCATAAATACATAGAAAATCCTAACAGAAGTACAGCTATTAAAGGGATTCAGTCAGTAATCTCAGTTGCTGCAGAAAAAGTGTTTGGCAAAATTCAATACCCTTTCATGATAAAAACTGTAAACTAGAAATAGAAGAAAATTTCTTCTACATGACAAAGATTGTATATGAAAAAATCCAAGACTAAAATTATACCCAGTGATGAAAGAGTGGAAGCTTTCCCCATAAGCTCAGGAACAAGACTAGGATGCCTGCTTTCACTGCTATTCACCATTGTAGTAGAAATCCTAGTCAGAGCAATTAAGCAAGAAAAATTTAAAAAGGCATGCAAATTGGAAAGGAAGAAGTAAAATTATCTCTGTTATCAGATGAGGTGATCATGTATATAGAAAGACCTAAAGATTTCACAAATACTTTTGGAGTTAATAAACAAATTCAGCAAAGTTGCAGTATACACAATAAACACTAAAAAACTAATTGCATTTATATACACTAACAGTTCAAGAATCCAAAAAGAAAATTAAAATAATTCCATCTACAACAATATCAAAAAGAATAAAATGATTTAAAATAAACTTAACCCAGGATGTAAAGGACTTGTAATGTAAAAACTATAAAACTACTGAAAGAAAGTAAAGAAGATACAAATGAATGAAAAGATATTTTTGTGTTTATGAATTAAGAGACTTAATATTTTAAGATGCAAGTACTACCCAAAGTGATCTTCAGATGCAATGCAATCCTTTCAAAATTCCAATAATGTTTCTTTTTGCAAAATTAGAAAAAAATCCATCCTAACATACATATGGAATCTCAACAGACTCCAAGTAGACAAAGCAATCTTGAAAAAGAAGATCAAAATTTGAGGTCTCACACTTCATGATTTCCAAACTTACTACAAAGATACACAAAGCAAAACAATGTGGTATTGGCAATATAACAGACATATATGCCAATGGAATAGAATACAAAGCTTCCAAATAAATCCTATTATACAAGATTAAATGGTTTTCAATAAGAGATGTCAAGACAATTCAATAGGGAAAGAACAATTTTTTCAACAAATACTGTTGGGAAAATTGGATACCCACAGAAGAGTTAGAAGAGGAGGAGGACAAGGAGAAGAAGAAGTTGTTGCATCATTATCTTATACCATATATAAAACTATGATATGGGATATAGCAATTGTTTCCTGGATATGACATCAAAAGCACAGGCAACAAAAGAAAAAGTTTATAGGTTGGGCACCATCAAAAGTAGAAATTTTTGTGCATCAAAGGAAAGTATTAACAGAGTGAAAAGGCAACCTATGAAATGAGAGAAAACATTTGCAAATTATATATTTGATAAGGATTTAATATACAGAATATATTAAAGATTCCTCAGGGATCTAGAGCTAGAAATACCATTTGACCCAGCCATCCCATTACTATGTATATACCCAAAGGATTATAAATCGTGCTGCTATAAAGACACATGCACACGTATGTTTATTGCAGCACTATTCACAATAGCAAAGACTTGGAACCAACCCAAATGTCCAACAATGATAGACTGGATTAAGAAAATGTGGCACATATACACCATGGAATACTATGCAGCCATAAAAAATGAGGAGTTCATGTCCTTTGTAGGGACATGGATGAAGCTGGAAACGATCATTCTCAGCAAACTATCACAAGGACAAAAAACCAAACACCGCATGTTCTCACTCACAGGTGGGAATTGAACAATGAGAACACATGGACACAGGAAGGGGAACATCACACTCCGGGGCCTGTCGTGGGGTGGGGGGAGGGGGGAGGGATAGCATTAGGAGATATACCTAATGCTAAATGACGAGTTAATGGGTGCAGCACACCAACATGGCACATGTATACATATGTAACAAACCTGCACGTTGTGCACATGTACTCTAAAACTTAAAGTATAATAAAAAAAGTGGGAAAAAAAAGTACTCCTACAACTTAACAACAATAACAACACAGATAAAAATGGGCAAAAGACTTGAATAAACATTTTTCCAAAAATATAAAAGTGGCCTATAAACATATGAAAGTTGTTTAACAACACTAATCATTAGAGAAATACAGATTCAAACCATAATGAAATATCACTTCACACTCATTAAAAAGGCTACTCTCAAAAACAACAAAAACTAAAAACAAATACATAAAATACATCCTTCCCATCCTTGTTAGTAAGGATGTGGAGAAAGTGGAACCCTGTGTATTGCTTGCAGGATAGTAAAATGGTATAGCCACTATAAGAAACAGTATGATGGGTCCTCAAAGTAATTAAACGTAATTAGTATATATAGCAATTCCACTTCTGGGTACATACATGTACAAAAGAGGTGAAAGAATAAACTTGGGCAGATATTTTTATACCCATGTGGATAACATCATTATTCACAATATCCAAAAGGTAGAAGCAAACCAAATGTCCACCAACAGATGAATACATATACAAAATGTGGTTTATACATAAAATAGCATATTATTCAGCCTTAAAAAAAAGAAAATTCTTATACATGCTACAACACAGATGAATCTTGATGACACTATAGTAAATGAAATGAGCAGTCACAAAAAGATACATATTGTATGGTTCCACTTATAGGAGGTACCTAGAGTAGTCAAATTCATAAAACAATAGAATGATGGTTTCCAAGGTTTGAGAGGAGAGGCCAATGAGTAGTTATTGTTTAAGTAGTATGAAGGTTTTAGCTGGGGAAGATAAAAATATTTTGAAGATGAGTGGTGGTGATGGTTAAACAACAATGTGACTATACCTAATGCTATAGAATCATGCACTTTAAAATAGTTAAGATGGTAAATTTTATGTTATATATATTTTACCACAATAAAAAAAAGTTTTTCATGACTGTGATGGATTTGAAAGATCATTATCAACAATTCTTTATCTACAATTTCTTGTAGCTACTTCAAGGATGTAAGTTTATATAAAGCACTGTATTTATGCAAGCTCAAAAATAATATACAATCACATACCAACACATAAATCCTTTGTCATCATTTCTTCACCCGGTAGGTTTTGGAACCTTGCTGTCAGGCCCAGTTGCCTATCTCAGGAGCAGATTGTAATTCTAACACTATTGCCATATCTAACTTCTGAATATGATCTTTCCAGAGTGAACCCAGCACTGTCTATATCAAACTAGAACTGGGAGTCATGAGCTCGGTCATTTTAGAATTAAGAACTTGAAACTATCTCGGGGGAATGTTTCTCATCACTGACCTCCTGAGTAGTTTCTGCAGTCTAAGCTTCCCAGCAGGCAGCCTACTCTTAGTTGCAAAATCCTTAAACTCATTTTCATGTTATCTATTTTGAGCTGTTAATTTATCCACAATAGAACAAATCTTTCATTTTCACCAGTTATTTTCTCATTTTCTTCACATCTTATTGCTCTTGCTTTTTCATATACCTTATTCTACACACACACACACACACACACACACACACACACTTTTACCATGTCTTCTGCCTCACATTTTGTTTCATTATGCCATTCTTCTTTAGACTTTTATAATTTCTCCTTAAACATTAATATATCTTGCTGCTAATGGCATTCTGAAACATGCAGCTCCTCTTATGCATGTTTTTTTGCTTCTAAAACACGAGAGGCCTCATGTCTGACACATTTCTATTTATAAAGTAATACTTCCTCTTCAAATTACTATTTTGTTTTAGAAATATCTTGCGATATTCTAAAGTGGCACCTGGTTACTGGCTTTCTTGCTTTATTGTGAGACCTGAAGCTAACATTCTGTTTGTTCAGAGACGTTCTGTCTGTGATCACCAAGTCTATGTTCCTTTGAAGTCTCAGCAATGACATCCTCAAGTTGAGCTTCCAGCACTTTCCTAAACATCTCAGACTTGGGGATTTCCCATTTCATAAAGTCAGTTTCCTGCATAATCACTTCCATCACTTCCTCTTTGTCACTAAGCTTTTCAAAAATCTGCTTTTGGGAACAGGATTCTGCCATGCACTCAATGAGCTGTGAGAACTCCTGAAGGGCCAGCTTTTGCTACTGATAGACATCTTTGAATCATTTGGCCTGGGATTTACAGCTGTCTGAATGTGAAAGTACTAAAAAATACCCATCATTAGCAAAATTTGGTCCTTCTGGAGTTCTCACAGCTCAATGAGTACATGACCTCACAGTGTGGTACTGCTATTCTATTCTCTTCAGTCTAGATGTGGAATCTCCATGTTCTTAGGAAAATGTTGCTGTATCCTCAAGCTGTCCCTGAACCCATTGAATCAACTATTTCATCTATAATTTATTTATCCATCTATATTTTATCTTCATTTAATTTATAAAATTTCTTTATCTTGGTTTGAATTCTCTATGATACAAGATGGACAAGGAAAGGGCTATTAGGTCTGTGTGCATTCTTGTCATTTCCTACTTAGTTCTGGTTTATCTTGCTAGGGTTCTTATTATTCTTACATAATCTTCAATTCAAAAGCTGTTCTCTAAATTCTGCAATTCTGCTGCACATCCTCATTTGTGATTAATGTACTTATTGGACTGCATCATGTTCTTTAGAGAGCCTTAATTGGAAAAAAACACTTTTTTATTGTGCATGTAAAACCAATGAATGATAAATGTAATTGAAAAATACTGTAAAAGAAAAAGAAGGCAGAATTTCAGTATTTCTTTACACATCATACATATCAAAGTTGGGGTGTGTTAGAAGAATTGCTAACATCCAAAACACAAGTTGATTATAGCTCTTGTATATTTTCTCAATTTGTATCTTCAAAAAATGCATGCTTTTGAAATCCTTAATTTCATTTTGCCCTAGATTACACTCTCTTCTGAAGATGAGTCTGTGAATAATGTCTCTCTGGCTTCTACAGGTACAACCATGATGTGATAAGGGAATTGAAATTGTTCTTTTAGGTCCATGATCTTTACTTCAGTTTTCATTAATGATTATGTATAAAACTGTTCCTCCATGTAGCAATTACACATACAGACACTTTGGGCCAATGGGAAAGCTCCTCTTCACCTTCTGAAGTTTTGCTAAAAAATTAACTCAAAAAAGACAGATTAATAGGAGAAAAGGCATACAGATATATTTAACGTATATACCCGGGAGCCTTCAGAGTGAATGTATTAGTCTGTTTTCATGCTGCTGATAAAGACATACCTGAGAGTGGACAATTTACAAAAGAAAGAGGTTTAATGGACTTACGGACCCACATGGCTGGAAAGGCCTCACAATCACGGTGGAAGGCAAGAAGGAGCAAGTCACATCTTACATGGATGGTGGCAGGCAAAGAGAGAGCTTTTGCAAGGCAATTCCCATTTTTAAAACCATAGGATCTCAGCCATGCATGGTGGCTCATGCCTGTAATCCCAACACTTTGGGAGGTCAAGGTGGGCGGATCACGAGGTCAGGAGTTTGAGACCAGCCTGACCAACACAGTGAAATCCCATCTTTACCAAAAATACAAAAATTAGCCAGGCATGGTGGCATGTGCCTGTAATCCCAGCTACTTGGGAGGCTGAGGCAGGAGAATTGCTTGAACCTAGGAGGCAGAGGTTGCAATGAGCTGAGATCATGCCACTGCACTCCAGCCTGGGCAACAAAGTGAGACTCCATCTCAAAAAAAAAAAAGAAAAAAAAAAAACCATAGGATCTCATGAGACCCATTCACTATCAAGAGAACAGCCCAGGAAAGACACGCCCTCATAATTCAGTCATCTCCCACTGAGCCCCTCCCACAACACGTGGGAATTACGGGAGCTACAAGATGAGATTTGGGTGGGGACACAGAGCCAAACCATATCAGTGAAGAACCAAAGATAGAGGGGAAAATATCTATTTTTATGCTTAGGTTCAATAAAGTATGAACAGTTGTGTAAAAATATGGTTGGACAAAAAGGGCATAATCTAATACTGAGTGAGGAAACCCAGCAAGGCCTGTATGCCTAGATTCTCCTCTCTGAGCATGCATTCTTTTCTTCTGGGTGTGGGGCAGAGCACTCTCTGGAATGCGGGTCTTACGACCTACAGTCAATGTATGTCAGATAATTTATGGCCAGTTTTTACAAAGAAAGGTGGAGGGAAAATTAGAGTAATATTTTCAGGTTTTATGGCTGGTTGTAGGGAAAAGGGGTTTTGATTGCTAAAATCCACCTTGGGGTAGAGGAATTCTGATTTCTACAGCTAGCCTCTGTGGAGAAAAGGAGTGAAAGACAGTAGAGCAGGAGAAGGTCAGAAAAAAACTTTCTCTTCTGAGGCTGCTTCTGAAGCCTTCATTTTGGGGCATAGTTTTCTGAGCCCCAACAACACCAAGAAAAAAAAAAAGTCATATTCTGGGCTGTATTTTCCCATGCTATCTTCCATTGCTTATAGAATCTCAGGTGTTATGTAGTTAAGTATGTTAATGGCCATGGGAGACCAAACAGTTCATCATTTATCTTCAGTCATAACCAAGGGTCAGCCAGGAAAATATGAACTAATTTTTTTTTTTTGAGATGGAGTTTTGCCCTTTTTGCCCAGGCTAGAGTGCAATGGTGTGATCTTGGCTCACTGCAACCTCCACCTCCCAGGTTCAAGCAATTCTCCTGCCTCAGCCTCCCGAATAGCTGGGATTACAGGCATGTGCTACCATGCCCAGCTAATTTTGCATTTTTAGTAGAGACAGGGTTTCTCCATGTTGGTCAAGCTGGTCTTGAACTCCCGACCTCAGGTGATCTGCCCTCCTCGGCCTCCCAAAGTGCCGGAATTACAAGCGTGAGCCACCATGCCTGGCCTGAACTTTTATACTCAAAATAACATTATCAGGTTTAACGTTTCTGTGCACATAGTAAAGTTGATGGCTAACACCACTTCCTCAATGTAGAATCTTGCCAAATAATTCAGAAGATTGCCTTCAGATTTACTAACCAGGGCCAGTAAATCATCATTCACATAGTAATGCATTACTAAGTACAAATGATTTTCATTTTGAAAGCATGAACATTTCAAGCATCTTGAAAAATCCTTTTTGAGATGAAAAGCATGAAGTGATCTACTGTTGATCACAATTTACCAACACATCAAGTTCTCCTTGGAAATGAGCGTTCTCTGTGTTTGTTTGTTTGTTTGAGATGGAGTCTCGCTCTGTTGCCCAGGCTGGAGTGCAGTGGCAAGATCTCAGCTCACTGCAACCTCTGCCTCCCAGGTCCAAGTGATTCTCCTGCCTCAGCCTCCCGAGTAGCTGGGATTACAGGTGTGCACCACCACACCTGGCTAATTTTTGTATTTTTAGTAAAGATGGGGTTTCACCATGTTGGCCAGGCTGGTCTCGAACTCCTGACCTCAGGTGATCCACCTGCCTCGGCCTCCCAAAGTGCTGGGATTACAGGTGTGAGCCACGACCCCCGCCCATTCTCTGCTTTTTAAAGCGTCTTCCACTTGCTGAGGATTTTCATTGCATAAATCTGTTTGGTATTCATTTTTATAACAATATCACAGAAAGCATTATTTTGAACTAATTTTGTGAGACTTCATGGTGAATCTGCATTTCCTTCATCAGTTGTCTAAATTGTTTAGTCCACGGAAGAAACTTATCTCATGCATGAGAAACTCAGCCACATGCTTATTGCAGCACAGGGCCAACTGGCTATTCTCAGTGCGCAGGCAGAGGTGTACATCAAACACTGTCTCTACATTCAGGATACTCTCTACATATATTATTCAAAACTGTTGTTCAGTGGAGATTTGTCTATTATCCTGTTTATTTTTCATTTATTCAAAAACATAAATCACTATGAACTCTAACATTTATTTTACATAATTAGGTATAATTTTACACTACTTCATTTCATCCTTCAAATTGTCCCAGATTTGGTCATTGGAAACTCTTTGTGTTGTTTTTTTTTTTTTTTTTTTTTTCTGAGACGGAGTCTTGCTCTGTGGCCCAGGCTGGAGTGCAGTGGTGCTATCTTGGCTCACTGCAAGCTCTGCCTCCCAGGTTCATGCCATTCTCCTGCCTCAGCCTCCCGAGTAGCTGGGACTACAGGAGCCTGCCAACATGCCTGGCTAATTTTTTGTATTTTTAGTAGAGACGGGGGGGTCTCACCGTGTTAGCCAGGATGGTCTCGATCTTCTGACCTCGTGATCCGCCCTCCTCGGCCTCCCAAAGTGCTGGAATTACAGGCATGAGCCACCGCGCCCGGCTGGAAACTCTTTATACTGGCTCCTGTGTTTCTTTCTAATGCCCTTCCCTTTGTTGCTATTTTTGAATACTGTGCTTCTTTACTTTGTATCACTATAAGATACTTCCTGTTCATAAGGCATATTTTTTGTTCCAGTTCAAGATCAGCCAGCCATTTCTCTAAGAAACTCTAGTTCCTCTTATTGGAGAATGTAATTATTTATTGGAGAATGAGTTGTAGGTGTGTTCATTGCTTGGTGGTGTCAATGCTTTTAGACCTTTTCAGCTGACAGAGCAAGAAAATATATGTGCCTATACCAATGCCTACATATGAATATACCTATAAATATTAATGTATGAATCAACCTATAACTATTTTAAGCTAAACATAAGTTCTTTCTAATATCTCCAATTCTAATCCAGTATCACATGGCTAATTCTAGCCTTTGTCCCTTGCCTGTCTGTAACCTCCCATTCCAACACTGAGAAACCTGTATTTATCATCCGCCATCCACTTATTTAATTATTAAATTTAGTTTACATGTGTAGTGTTTTTGGTATTGCTAACCTATAACACATGGGAAACAATTTTAGCAACCATAATTTTATTGCCATTAAATAGTCAGTTTATTAAGAAAATTGAATAAAATTATTTTCAAGTCATTTTATGCTATGTGGTATAATATTCATTACATGTATACTAAAACATTGGTGTTTTAATGGAGGCTAAACCACTCATGTTCTAAATGATAGGCAAATTAGAAATGTACAGTAATAATAATGCAGGAATGTCTGGTAGACAAGCTTGAACTAAAATCAGTGCTAGTGATCAGAGGGCACACCATGGTATGTCCTAACCAGTGGATGAAATCTTGAAAGTTTTAGAAAAAGCTTCTAAAAATAAATTAAAATCTTTGTACTTCTATGCAGGTTGATAAGCAGCCACTGTCATCAGTGCCCACATCCAGTGCCTGAGCTGCATCAAACACTCCTTCTGGATTTTGGATGCATTCAGGACCTAGTGACTAAAGGGCTATGCCCTGGCATGGCAGAGGTCCTTCAGGAGCCTGTACTATTTATCTGTAGTTCCTTATACGTTGTAGGATTCATTGGTATTGGAAGTTAATTTTTTTAATATCACTCTTTTTTTCTAAGAAACATAATTGTATGTATAAAGAACATAGTTATTATGGTTATGACATCAGGAGCAGTGGTCCTGCACATTTGTAATTGGTTGGTGTTCAAAAGCCTCAATGTCATTAACAGAAAAGCTGCCACTGAAGTGTCTATTCTATGAATTGCTTGGTACACAAACTACTAGGTAGTGCCTGATTAAGTTGTCCCCTTAAAACCTATAATAATTAGCAGTCTTTCTAATCAAGGGTAAGATATGGTTTAGCTGAATTTTTGGCCTTTTTGTAAAAAGAAAGTAGGCATCTATTGTTTACTTTAGGAAGTTGCTGGTTTTAAAATACTGAATCATCTACACATTCTTACTTTGAAGCAGGTAACAATAAAAAGGAACCGTGTATACACAGATAACGATATGTGAGTTTAGACATAGTTTAAAGAATAAACAAAGTATAAATTATACTTTACTCATTAGTAGGTTTTAACCATCCCATTATAATTTTAAAGCTAAATCAATACTTGGTGTTTATCATAAATGTGCTGAACATTTTCTGATGAAAATGTATTTTAGAATGTGCAGATCTGATATTAAAACTTATAATCATACTGTGTTTATCTATACTACAGAAGCATTTTGTTAGCCTTGTATAACATTATAAACACTTTTGATGCATAATAAAGCTTGTTATGCTTGTCTCATTAATATGATCAGGAATTGCCACTTTTGTAAAGCGAAATCTTACTATTTAAAAAAAAAGCTTTATAAAACTAAACTAGAAACAAGAAATCAATGGAAGTTGATCCTAGATGTATTCAGTATATACTTAGGTATTTGTGAAGGTTGTACCTGGGTATAATAGGTCAGAATTTAGTATTTTAAAAGTATTTTACACGTGCTTCTTCCTGCTTTTTTTGAAGGAGGTAGAAACCTGCATCATATTGAGAACACTAGCAGAGAATGAATCACCCCCAGAGTCAAATCACTTGGAGTGTGAATGCACTAATGCTCGCAACAGCTTAATAAGTGTAATGTAGGTAAATTAATATCCACTCTCTGTATGATTTTCTGGGATGTTTGGATTAAAAATATACTTATAATCAGTATGTAAAGTGAGTCATATACCTCTAAGGGACCCTACCGGATAGTGAAAAACAACTTTTGAGATACTCAAAGCGCCCTTCACTGATTAAGAACAGCTGTTCTTTAGGATGTTTTCATCTTGTGGACACCATTTTTAGCTCAGATCTGCTGCCCATGATCAAGGAGACATCTTGAATTTTAGCATGATGGTTGCTAAAAGGTAGGCAGTGGGAAATCTCAGGAGTATTTCAGAAAACATTTACTTGATTAAAAGAAATTTTCAATTATTTCTAAATTTATATTTAGTGGAAGCCATATCAGTTTTAATTTTCAAGTATCACAGGAATATGATCTTGAAGGCATTTTGGTTTACAAGTCAGTTTTTTTGTTATTACAGTTTATTGCTTTTAAAAGTTTTTTTGGAAGCAAAATAAAGAAAATGATATAAAACTTATTTGAATATTTTAACAAACCAATGTAAAGTAAATGCTCTTGGATCCACAACTCTGGTCAAGAAATAGAATGTTACTAGCACACCAAGGGTCTAATGTATCTCTTCTTAATCATAGCATGGGTTTAAATATTTTAGTTATTAGTTCTCTATAACTATGGTTTTCTATAGTATGGGGCATTTCACATAAGAAAAATTCAGCCTTACTTTTTATGCTTACTAGATGTGTTATAAGAAATCATAATTCATTGACTTCCTTCGGGTTAAAAATAAAGGTAGAATATGGCACTACTAATGGAAATATTTTGCTCTGTTTATAAATTTCCATCTAAGGTAAAACTAGCTATACTTCTTCCATTCCTTATTTAATTATTTTATTAAATATACTGAACGATCTTATTTTAATATCCTTAATTTTATTTAATTTCAGCATTTAATTTTTTAACCTTTACCTACAGCATGAACATTTTCACTATTCCAACCGAATAGAAACCAGATTTAAAAAGTGCTTTGATAAAAGTGTTTCAGAATTTTAGCAGACTATTTAAAATTCATTATTTTGATCTTTGGATTTTATTTAAAGATGAATGCCATTTCAAATAATCTTAGAGGACTTATTCTTCTTGTTACTTTTGAAATAAAATTATTATTGACTTGCATTAATCTCTCGACGAAACCAGTTTTAAATACCATTTTAGATCACCTGTCATTAAGTATTCAAATAATATTTACTGTAATAGATAAGTAACATATGACCTATGCAGTAGAGTTCACTTACAAATAAGATCTAGAAATGAAGATATTTTACTCAGGAGGGCGTTTCACAATTATACTTAGTAGATTTTGATTGGCGTGCCAAGAAACTGCTTTCCTAAAGGCTTCACAGGTTTAGGAAGGATATGAAGTCTTTGATTGGCCATTCTGTCTCTTCTTACTTAAGTAAATTCTATGGAAAGAAGCATCAACGGAGGAAGTTGAATTCATTTTTCTGCTACTAAATTCAAAAGGTAGTTCCAAATTCTATTTTAATACTTGTAGCGATGCCTTCCTTTCTTCCATTCTTATTTTCATCCCAGTTTGTATAAACTTATGAGAGCCTGGTGTGCTCTGTTTAAGACTATATATTCAATATGAAGAGCAGCGGTTTCATGTTTTACAAGTTCTGCAGACACTTTTAACCTCAAACCATTCATTAAACCAACTACATGAGAGAATTTTTTTTTTTTTGAGGCGAAGTCTCTCTTTTGTCCCCCAGGCTGGAGTGCAATGGCGCGATCTCCGCTCACTGCGACCTCCACCTCCCAGGTTCAAGCGATTCTCCTGCCTCAGCCTCCCGAGTAGCTGAAATTATAGGCACGTGCCACCGTTTTTGTATTTTTTGTTTGTTTGTTTTTGTTTTTGTATTTTAAGTAGAGACGGGGTTTCACCATGTTGGTCAGACAGGTCTCCTACTCCTGACCTCGTGATCCACCCACCTTGGCCTCCCCAAGTGCTGGGATTACAGGCATGAGCCACCCCGCCCGGCTGAGAGTACTTTATTTTACTCTCTGTTGTGAGAAAACGTATGACCAAAAGTTACTGTAAACTCAGCAACACTTAATTTAATATAATTAGAGGAGAGGATTTTGAATGTTCTCACCACAAAGAAATGACAAGTGTTTGAGGTGACGGATATGCTAGTTACCCTGATACGTTGCACAATGTATATATCTATCGAAATATCACACTGTACCCCATACATATATACAATTATAATGTGTCAGATAAAAACAAAATGTTTAAAAAATTCAGTGTATTTACTATTAAAGAAGGCACTAATAGCCATAAGATCATGTTTAAAAACAGGTTTTTGGCAAGTTATTTATCTGACTGCTGTGCGTAAGGACATGGAGAGCCTCAACTGCTTCTTACATATTTGCTGCTTTTCGGGTGTCTTCAGGCCAGAAATCGGTAATCATTTTCACAGATGATGGAAACTGGTTGGTAATTCTACCATTGAATGTCTGCTATTAATATTGAGCAGAGATGTTTTTGATAAATTTTATTGACCTCTGGCCGGGCGCAGTGGCTCACACCTGTAATCCCAGCACTTTGGGAGGCTGAGGCAGGAGGATCACCTAAGGTCAGGAGTTCAAGACCAGCCTGCCCAACATGGTGAAACCCCATCTCTACTAAAAATACAAAAAATTAGCTGGGTGTGGTGGCAGGTACCTGTAATCCCAGCTACTTGGGAGGCGGAGGCAGGAGAATCGCTTGAACCCGGGAGTCGGAGGTTGCAGTGAGCTGAGATCACGCCACTGCACTCCAGCCTGGGCAACAAGAGTGAAACTCTGTCTCAAAAAAAAAAAAATTTATTGACCTCTTATTATAAAGGAACAATGCAATACCAATACAGTTTGTCTCTTTTCCTATCACTGGCCTTACACACACGATAATGTCTTGAAAGAGATCATGTAACTTTGAAATATTAAATAAGCTAAAGATGTTTTTGGCTGTACTTGGTATAACACAGTTTCTGATTAATTTTCTTTTTGTCTTCTCTTCTAAGTCACTCTTCTATTACTAGGAGTTTGCAGCTGACCTCACCTTCTGCAACCATATTCCCTAGGAAAGTGATGCCTGACCAACTTGTTGCTTCCCAAGTTCCTGTGGTGATTTTATTGTGGCCCAGTGGATAACATTTCCCTGGCTCAGGCATCGGTATTTAGCTTCCAAGCTAGTGATTTATAGTCAACAAAAAAATTCTGCTTTGTCATTGCTCTAATCAAAAAGAACATTTCATGGTGAGAGTTCAGAGATTTGGCCAGATGATTGAGAAAAATACATTTTTAATAACGATTCTATCAAAGAGAATTCCATTATGACACAATGTTGATAGCCTCCTTTAATAACTTGTACGGTCAGCTCTAACTTTAGTCTGTATTACAATATATTTATTTAAAAAACCTTGCATTCAAATAGATTAATTATAGGTACTTCAATGCATAACTACCTCTTCTTCTTTTTGAAAAAATGCCCACTAAAAAACATGCTGAAATTATTTAAGAGATAAAATAAAAATAACCCATAAAAATTACTTCGTTTATGTTTTAGCTAGTTCTTGGCTCTCTTCTAAAATAAGTACATTACACATTTCTAAGGAATGGCTTAATGAAAATGAGATTGCTGTGTTTATATGGGTTCATGTCATCACTGTGGGATTTTTAGCTTTTGGTTATCAGCAGGTTGCAGATAATGATTCAGATAATATATTTAATGACTATTGCCTCCACTGAGAATTCTTTGGAATTAACCATTAAAGATGTAAGGATGCAAATAGCAGAACTGTTAATGGTTCCTATGGTTTACAGATAATTTTTTGACTTAACTTCATTAGTCATTATAAAGCTGATTGCACTACCAGAGCAATCTAACATATATAGAAGTTCTCTTTGGGGCCTAATGCAGTACTGTTTACTCTTTTGAAGTAATCTGTGTACCTTTACAAATGCTTACAATTTATGTCCTACCCTTGTATATTTATGTAATCACCTCTCTCTTTTTCTCTTTCTATGTGTCTGTGTGTGTGTGTGTGCGGGTGTGTGTATCTGTGTGTGTTTCTATCCATCCATTAGGACAAAAGAGTATATAAATCTAGAGTATATGCACACATATGTACACATACATACATGCAATTTTGCCCAAATTTAAGTATATTTAGGGAATGGCAATTTTTCACTTTTGGCATAATTCATTCCTGGAAACAGTATTTTAAATTGTGTTAACAAAAGATTATAGAATTTTTCTGTAAGTACACTCTCCTGAAAAGAAAATATGTATTGACAGATATTTATCCAAGATAATGTTTTAAAATAGTAAAGGTAGGCCCTAAAAGAGATTTTCAGATTTCTCAAATGTTTATAGAAATTGCAGCCTTTGTTTATTTTATCAGATTATTATCTAACAGATGAGATGATTATTGTGAAAATAACTTACACAAATTCAAGCTTCTGATAAGTGAACATATATTTCTAACCTTGGTGAATATTTGTAGACTCGTGCTATAAAAAATAATTCTCAGAATTTATTCTGCTGTGATGAAACCATTAGAAGATATACATTTGCATGGACCAGGCACATTCAGATGAAGTTAAAACCATTAGGGCACTAAATCAGTTTAACACTTAGTTTAGAAGTGTTTATGTTCATAAATAACGATGTCTTTCAGGGCTACAGATAGCAGTCTGTGTTATTGCAATGCCCATTAGAATAACTACACTCTACTTCTTTTCTTTTTCACTCGGAGATAGTAAAATACAGAGGAGTAAAAGCTACATTATTATAGAGAAACGTATGAATCTCTGTGAGCCATTAAACTCGAGGTTGGGAGTTCGAGACCAGCCTGACCAACATGGAGAAACCCTGCCTCTACTAAAAATACAAAATTAGCCGGGCATGGTGGCACATGCCTGTAATCCTAGCTACTCAGGAGGCTGAGGCAGGAGAATCGCTTGAACCCAGGAAGCAGAGGTTGCGGTGAGCAGAGATTGCGCCATTGCATTCCAACCTGGGCAACAAAAGCAAAACTCTGTCTCAAAAAAAAAAAAAAAAAAGAATAAATGAATAAAAACTCTGGAAGTCTATCACAACTGGCAAAACAACTATTGATGTCTTCAAATGTGGTAGAGACATTCTTGAATGCTGCAATATTATGGACAAACTGTACTGTTATAAATATACTAATTACACTACCAGAATTAAAATTCACTTGTCCCATAAATTTAGCTAACTAAAAAAAAAAAAACTAGCTATAGTAAACATTAAATATTTAAATAAACATAATAATTAACTCTTTGTGTAGGTTAAGTTGCATGCAAATAATGTTGTTACCAGTCATTAAATTGAGATATATTTGGATACATGTAAGTAGTACAAGCTGCTTTAGAAAGCTTGCTGAGGGAAGTTTGTTTTCTGCAGTAACTTTGCCTGAAGCAAGTATAGTCATTCAAAATCATTTCACTAATTGTTAGTCTTCACTTTAAAATAATAGTAATAAGCACTTGCTTTGGATGGTGATGGTGGTGGTAGTTGGTTTCACAATGAATAGCAATTTCAAAGGTTGACTCAACTTCTTTTCTTCTCCTATTTTTCATTTTATTCGGCCCTACACATTGAAAGCAGTGAACTCTTTCTTTAACCCTTTCTAGTATCTTTTAGTTTTGCCAACATGTAATCTTTGGTTCAGCAGCCTTGAGGAAAAAAGTTTAGACAGGCAACTGTAGTAAAACTAGAGAGACCTGCTCCTAAAAGCCACACCATAAAGCCCTGCTCTTTTCTCTTGCTCTGTCCCTATTTCTATGAATTAAAGCGATTTTCAATAGAACTGCTTTTTGAACACAAAACCCGTTTTCTGGTAATACACATAAGAACAAAACTTTCACTAAGATCGAAAGATATATCATACCACTACAATCTTAGAGTACATGGTGTATTTTTGACAGGTCATCATAGTATTTCATAAGCCATTGAGAATGAATAAAATACTCCAATTATAAAGCCATTTATCACAGAAATTTAAGATAGAACTTCAAAATTTCATCCCTAAAATAATTTGGGAAGACAAGGATAAAAGTCTCTTAACTTCACTAACAGCTGAGAGATTTGAGATTTGAGTGTTATTATTTCTCCAATAAGTTAGATGATGAAAAAGAGTTCCTTACACACTTTCTGTAATATGTTATACATGGTCATTGTATCATTCAATTTCAAAATTATGGTTCTTAAAACTATCATTTGTATTTGATTGATTATACTTTATTGTGTACCTGGAAATTGTGGATTGATTTACTTTTTATTTTTTATTTAGGTATTTTTGTTTGCTTTGTCCTTTTATAGAAGACACTGACTTCTTTCCTACAGTCTAGCTGTGGAGATAATTAGAAAACAGAGTTGAGATAGTATTGTATGCTTGGGCCTGGAGAGAAGGATGTGGTGAGTGTGTATGTGGGGGGTGCATCTGTGTCTGTGTATATGTGCATTAAACTCGGGAACACAAATGAATCAGTCAGCCTTAAATGAAACTGCCATTTTTGTAGTTTACCATTTTGTACTGTTCAACCTAATATTTAGTGATTCTTTTAATGCCTGCTGCCTTAATGTAAATCTAATGGGTGCCACTGCAGCTTCAGGCATATCCCATAATTAATTTGTAGCATTCAGAAGCATGTTTTTTTTTCGCAGCAAGAAATAGAGATAAGTCCAAAACAGCCTCGTGAGTATATAAAAGTAGAAGTAAATGAAGAGTTACATCATTATCCAGAAACTTGAGTCAGATTTGATTCATTACACGTAACACATCTTTTAATAGTCTAATAATATATTAGTAAAATGAATCATGATGCCCTCACAAGAGACTGAGATATTCTTGCATGTTGCAACATCAGAAAATAATGATTGCCACTGGATGAAAGTTTGATAAGGAAAGGGATGTTCACATGGTCTCAATGTGTCCTCCACAGGTTATTTTTACATTCTTTGATGCTTTCATTGAAATAAAATATTAGTTACTTAATATACAAGTGTTGGTTAAGATTAACATAAACATTGGGATGATATATTAAAATTGATACATTTTATAGCTAAAAATGAAACAAATAAATCAGAATTTCATAGTAGCAATGTAAAATGACTTACTGATTTATATAGCTTATGAGTTTCATTCATAAACATGTATTGCTAATGTGTTCTGAAATGTATTTGGATGATCACACTTTAATTTTTCTTACATTATGTATGTAAGAAAAAAATGCACTAAGGCATGGGAGTTTTATAGGCAGTGTTCATTAATCCTAGCATTTTTAGTTTAATAGAAGATTGAGAGCTTTCATTGTGTGAAAATGTAGGCATTGAAACTGCCTTTTCAAAATTATGACAGGAAGAGGAATTTGACCTAGTTGACTCCATTTTGCTTCCAACATCCCAGCTGTCCTTGGTGATTCCTGGGTGTAAGCCAAGCTAACTTTGGGAGGAATTAAGTTTATAGTTTAACCTTAAAGCAAGGATGATAATAGTTCTTCCCAAAACTAAACCACTTTTATAAAAGTAATAAAAGACCATAAGGTTAGGGTTATACAAGGGGCCTGAATTCTGCTAAGATGTAGGCATTGTTATACAATAACTGGCCATTGTTCCAGAGGTCACAAGATTTTTAACTTCCCTAATTACTCCTGTAGATAACATCACTATTACCAAACCTAAGATTGGCCTTTTGAGACGTATTTTCAGACTTTTGCGTTTCTGATTACCGGATAACTCCACCAGGACACTCAACTCTTTACTCAGTCTTGTGCCCCTCCCCCAACCACTGAGAGGCTGACTGGGAGCATGAGGACCATTTTTCACACCACTATGATTGCATCCACAACCAGTCGTCAACATCCATTCCCTAGCCTCCTGCCCACCAAACCATCCTTGAAAAATCCTAACCTCCGAACCTTTGGGGAGACTGATTTGAGTGATAAGTCCAGTTCTTCCACAGGGCTGGCCTCATATCAATTAAGCTCTTTTTTTGCTGTAATACCACTATCTCAGTGAACTGATTTTCCCTGTGCAGCAGAAAGGAAGAATTATCGGGCAATTACAGCATTATAAAAATACATTTTTGAATTATAATAACAAAACTAACATCCCAGTTATAAGCCTATGACATTTATTGTATGCTGATTTGTACTAGAAATAAACAGACTCTTGTCGATAAATTCTTAGCAGAAGTTAGTCAAATGATTTGGCTGAATGAACTAACTCATATCCTATAAAATGTGAACTAGCCAAAAATTAACGTGATATATTTGGAGTATATCTGTGTGTGTATGTGTGTATATATATATATATATATATATATATATATATATATATATATATATTTGTATATTTAAATACAAAAAGGATGCACCATAGAAAAAGTGTTTACATAGAAGTACTTTATTTGCATAGAAGTAGATCAATTATCACCATAATCCTTAGCTTCTTGTGGTTCTAAAAGACTGCTGTTCTTAAACAATCACTAGGAGGAATGTACAGGAGTTGATTTCCTGTAGTATCAGAGGACTGTATACATGGATTGAAGTTTGTTACAAAAAAAAAAGTGATATTTATTTGTTTGTTTGTTTCTTTGTTTTTAGAGACGGGGTCTCTTTCTCTCTGTTGCTCTGGCTGGAGTGCAGTAGCACAATCGTGGCTTGCTGCAGTCTTGAACCCCTAGGCTCAAATGATTCTCCTGCTTTAGCCTCCTGAGTAGCTGGGACTACAGGTATGTGCCACCACATGAGGCTAATATTGACAATAATTTCTGATGTTGTCCGTCACTGTGTCTTTCAGTTTTGGGATCTTGGAACCACTGGAATAGAATCTCAGAAGAGTCTTTCCAGAAGGCTTTACACAACCCAAACACAGTGTACACTTTATCTGCAGGATCATTTGGGGAAAAGCTGATAAAGAAAGATGCTCACACAGTTTCAGAGTTACTTTGAGGTGCCTGTCAATTACAAAGGGGAAAAGGTAGTTTTAACATAAAATATCCTGTGGATACCATTGTAGCCAAATGATCAAACTCAACGTCACTAATAACTTGGTGCACTGACCTGCTGAGCTTCCTGATGGGATATAATGAAAACTAATTGAAAGCATACATGAAGCTCTCTTGCCAGAAAAGGTTAAGCTTTATCCAATCATGTGTTGATGAAAAGAGTCAACCTCTGTAAAATATTTGAAGAGATTTATTTTGAGCTAAATGTGAGTGACCATGGCCTGTGACACAGCCCCAGGAGATCCTGAGAACATATGCCCAAGGTGGTTGAGCTACACCTTGCATTTTAGGGAGACATAGACATCAATTAATATATACATGAGATGTACATTGGTTCAGTCTAGAAAGGTGGGACAACTGGAAGCAGGGGGCTTCCAGGTCATAGATTAATGCAAAGATTTCCTGATTGGCAATTGGTTAAGAGTTTATCTAAAGCCTTGGAATCAATAGAAGGGAGTGTCTGGGTTAAGATAAGGGGCTGTGGACACCAAGAATCTTAGTATGTAGATGGAGCTTCCAGGAGCAGGCTTCAGAGAAAATAGATTGTAAATGTTTAGCTTTACAGGGCCATTTCAAAATATGTCAAAACAATACATTTGGGGTGTAAAATACTCCTGAAATGCTTCTTTCAGGATCTGTTATCTGTCATGTTGGTTTCTTATTGCTACAAAGAATCTGTTTGGTTAGTCTTAAGGTCTCTGTTTTAATGTTCATGCTGGTTAGCTGTGCGTGAATTCCAAAGGAAAGAGATTATAATAAGGCGTGTCCTACCATTCATTCTTATCATGGCCTGAGCTAGTGTTTCAGGTTTACTTTAGAATGACCTTGACCAAGAGAAAGGGTCTATCTAGTTGGCTGGGGGCTTAGAATTTTATTTTTGGTTTACATTCAGAGGACAATGAGAGCAATAAAGAGATTGACTTTGATTCTTCAAAAATATCCATGACATGAACTATTAAACAAAGTTTGAAGACTGTCTTGGGTTAAAGGAGACTAAATGAAATGAGTGATCCCAATTTGGACCCTGACATCATTGGAACTCTTGGATATGATCTATAAACTAGAGAATGTTGTTGTATCATGATTAAATTTCTTGTTTGTGATGATGGAATTGTTATTATATGGTAGAATGTTTTTGTTCTTAGAAGACATCTGCCAAATATTTATGTGTGAATGTGTGTGTATGTGTATATGTGTGTGCATGTGTATATGTGTGCGCATGTGCATACATGCATATGCTTTAAGAAAATAAATTGTAAATAACAGCAATGAAAAGAGAAAAAAGCACATATGTGGCTCAATGTTAATTGGTGAGCTAGTGCAAGATGTTTGTGTGTTTATTGTACTAGTCTTCCAATTCTTCCACAAGTTGAAAATATAAACTACAGATTTAAGGGGGAGCTAAGAAATTGTTGGGGCTCAGAAAACAATACTACGAAATAATGCTGCTTTGGCATACTGAGTGCTTTGAACAAAGGAGATTGCAAGGCCTCTAAAATAAGCCTCAGAACTAAATTCTCCCTTTGACCATCTCCTACCCTTCCCTTCTGAAGTGCAGGGGCTGTCTCTGAAGTTCCCTTATCTGGCTGAGGGAAGTTTATCCAGAGGGAATGCAATTGTCTTGGGCCTCCTCCCTGTAGTCTACATAAACCAGAGAAGATTAACATGCATCCCAGAAGAGAAAACTAAAAGTCTCCATATCCAGGACACCACACAGGACAGACTTTTCAGCCATTCTTTCAACTCTTCTTCTAAGGGCAGTGACCTGAGATACTTTATCTGCATAATATAACAACCTTCTTTCACAGTGCAGTTCTGCAGGCCACCTTCTTCTCCTTACCCAGGGCCTAAGGAAACTTTGTCCCAGGCTACTATCTGCTCTTATGCCTACTCATGTCCCCTAAAACTTATTTACTTTTCCTCCCACTTCCCTCTCTTCTGTGAGGAGGGCATTTAAGCTTCAACCATCTGGACCTTCTTTGAGTTTCATATTTTGTGTGGCTCCTGTGCACTTGTGCATGTTAATAAATTTGTATGCCTTTTCTCCCTGCTAATTCCCATCTCTTTTAAGAATTCATCATGTGCTCCATATAAATATTTGGTGAAGACAATTTTGTACAGGTCAGTTAATGTTAATTCCAAGGAGCATTTGAAATCAAATATATTTTCTCCTGAGAACCTAAGAGAATATTTATAGTTTTCACAAATAGAACTTTTATTTAAACTATTTTCTAAAATAAACATAAAATTTTACATTGCAGAACAGCCAGAAATTATTAAAATATATTTTGCTTAATGGCATAATTGAGAATTTGATGAAAAGGGGTACAAGTGCTTAAATTCACTGTTGTGTAGATGGCTTTATGCAGACTTCCTAAATTTGAGCATATATATAGAGCAAGACATATCTGGCAACTAACCATTCCCATTGCAGTGGCTAAGACTATAGTTTTGTTATAAGTAGGGTGAACTTGTACCTTACCCCTCTATTTTCTAATTGTGTGACTCTTTTTCTTTACTTTTTTACTTTTCTAATTGTGTGACTGACTTTTTCAGGACCTTTATTAGAGTCAGAGTCTGAGAAAGGTAGTCATACACAATCTCTAAGACTGTTGAGAGAATTTATGGAAATAAAGTAATGCATATTAGGTGTTTAGCACAGGACCTGGCAAGAATAGTAAAAGTCCATTGCCATCACTTTCATCAACATCTGCATCAAATCATTCCTCTTGTTACCAGAAATGTCCATCCTGATTTATGCCCAGTAGAACCATTATAAATAATCAATGTCTGAAGGTTGGTATTTAAATTCCAGAACGGAATTGAAATCCATAGTGTCAGAGTGACTTTTCATTTCACTGTCACTGTACTACTATTTTTAGAGTGAAGCCCATACCATTCAATATTTCTGTCTGCTTAAATTGGTGTAGGAATCCATAAATATTATTACCATTGTTTTTTGAAAAACGTATCATATATTTTCCAGAAAATATTTTTATTAAAGCTTAGAATATTAATATTATTAACCACAAATACCTTTTCTGTTTTAATATATTGTAATACTAATGATTCCAGTGTTTGAATTTCCTATATAGCTATGTTACATAACTTAAAGAATTTCTGTGTTCTGTGTTCCATAGAAGAATGTGGTCATGTCGATTTTCTATGTCAATTACTCTTTATGGGAACATCTGATATCAAATATGGTCATCTTCAATAAAGTAGGTTTGTAACAAAAATTAGTGTATTTATTCCCACCTGATTCTCTGAATAAAATTTTATTTTCATTATCTTTTATCTTTTTATAAATGATTGAACCAATAATTCTCTTTTTGTTTGTTCGTTTTCTATTTTTCTTCAGTGAAATTGTCTACAAACGAACTCTTAAATGAAGAGTCATAGATATGTGATATATTAAGGAAACACTCCTAGGAAAAAAACAGTAAGGGGGTAGGAAAACGCCTTAGTCTTTTCTGTGTTGCTAAAACAAAATACCTAAGACTGAGTAATTTATGAAGAAGAGAAATTTATTTCTCAATGTTCTCGAGGCTGGGGAATTCAAGATCAAGGCATCTGGTGAAGGCTGCTCTCTGTTTCTAAGATGGTGCCTTGAACACTGCCTCCTTCAGAAGGTAGGAATGCTGTGTCCTCACATGGCAAAAGGTAAAAGGGCAAAAAAGGGATGAATGTTCTTCATTAAACCTTTTTATAAGGACACCTAATCCCATTCAGGAGAGAGGAAACCTCATGGCCTAATCACCTCTCAAAGACCCCATCTTTTTTTTTTTTTTTTTTTTTTTTTTGAGGCAGAATCTTGCTCTGTCATTTAGGTTGGAGTGCAGTGGCACAATCTCAGCTCACTGTAACCTCCATTTCCCAGGTTCAAGCAATTCTCCTGTCTCAGGCTTCTGAGTAGGTGGGATTACAGGCACTCGCCATCATCCCCGGCTAATTTTTTTGTATTTTTTAGTAGAGACGGGGTTTCACCATGTTGGCCAGGTTGGTCTCAAACTCCTGACCTCAAGTGATCCACCCGCCTCGGCCTCCCAAAGTGCTGGGATTAAGGGCATTTAAGGGCCTCATCTTTTAATACCATCATATTGGTAATCCCTGTATTTTGGTGGGGACACATTCAAACATAGCAGAGAAACAGACTTAAACCCTCCAAATAAGAGTGAAATTTAAGTTAAAGACCCAGGCTCAGTTTGATCCTATATGATTCTCTGGACCTTAAATAACACCAAAGTGTTTTTCTAGTTTGAGGATAGGGAGCTGGGATTTGAAATTCTCACACCACACAGGTATTGGATGTGGGCCTGTCCCAGGAGACATAAACTCCCAGGTTCTTCTGGTTTTGAACAATCCTGTAGCCCAAGGGTAGTTCGCTGAGGAAGGTTACACATAGCCCACTATGCCTCCCCAGATGATGGGAGCAAAGCACAAGTAAAAAACATCCCAGAGGATAAAGACGAAAGGGCAGAGCAATCACAGCATTTGCTGGAGTAGTCTATCTATTCTTTTTTTCTTTCCCTTCTTTTAAGAATCACTGCTAAACCCAAAATAACACTTTTGATTCTATGATATCAATGATCATGGTGTCTGTGAATAAAATGTTGTATATAATAGAGGTAATTATTGGTTAAATACAGTTGGCCAGTTATTAGAATTTTTCATTGATCACTATCTTTGCACAAATACACAATTAATAAAGTAATAATTCTTGCTGTCAATAAATTTTAAGTTGTATTTGTAAATGGGACAGCATGCAAAATAATTATATGAGGAGTCTTCAAAAATTTCATGGAAAATGCATATTATGAAAAAATGCATGATTTTCAAAATGTTTTGAACAAAAATAGTCTTACTAACTTCTTATAACATGTCTAATCAAGATATAGTTTGAGGCAGTAAGAAGGATAAGGCATCAGCTTGAAAAAATAACCCTATCAGTGCAACATGAATTCTACTAAAGTTGAAGTAACAACAAACATCAAATCTATAGTGAAGCTTGGGTGAAAGAATGGTAAAATCGTTGATGCCTTACAAAAACTTTATTGGGACAATGTCTCAAAGGAATAGCAGTTTACAAATGGATAACTTGTTTAAAGAAGGAATGAGATGATGGTCAAGATGAAGATCGAAGTGGCAGACCGTCCACATCGATTTGTGAGGAAAAAATTAATCTTCATGCTCTAATTGAAGAAGATCAAAGATTAACAGCAGAACGATAGCCAACACCACAGGCACCTCAGCTGGTTCAGCTTATGCAATTCTGACTGAAAAAGTTAAGTAAACTTTCTACTCAATTGGTGCCAAAACTGTTGCACCCAGATCAGCTGCAGGCAAGAACAGAGCTTTCAATTTAAATTTTAAATGAGTGGAATCATTATCCTGAAATATTTCTTTGAAGAATTAAAACAGGAGATGAAATATGGCTTTACCATTATGATCCTGAAGACAAAGCACAATGAAAGCAATTGCTACCAAGAGGTGTAAGTGGGCCAGTCAAAGCAAAGCAGACTAGTCAAGAGCAAAAGTCTACACAGGAACTCAAAGTACTGTATTTAAGAAAGACAAATAAATTAATTAAAAAGAGCAAAGGTCATGACAAGAGTGTTTTGGGATGTTCAAGCCATTTTGTTTGTTAACTTTATGGAGAGCTGAAGAATAATAACATTGCTTATTGGCCAGGCGCGGTGGCTCACAGTTGCAATCCCAGCACTTTGGGAGGCCGAGGCTGGCGGATCAAGAGGTCAGGAGTTCAAGACCAGCCTGGCCAACACAGTGAAACCACATCTCTACTAAAAATACAAAAATTAGCTGGGCGTGGTGGCGGGCACCTGTAATCCCAGCTACTCAGGAGGCTGAGGCAGGAGAATTGCTTGAACCCAGGAGGCAGAGGTTGTAGTGAGCCCAGATCGTGCCACTGCACTCCAACCTAGACAACAGAGCAAGACTCCATCCAAAAAAAAAAGCATCGTTTATTACAAGAGCGTTTTGAGAAAATCAGCCAAAGCGTTAGCAGAAAAAATGCCTGAGAAAGTTTCACCAGAAAGTACTTTTCACCACAACAAGGCTCCTGCTTATATGTCTCATCAAACAAGGGCAATTTGGTGAGAGTTTTGATGGAAAATCTTTAGGCATTCACCTTACAATCCTGATTTGGCTACTTCTGACATCGTTTTATTTCCTAATCTTAAAAGCATCTTTAAAGGTCACCCATTTCTCGTCAGTTAAAAATGTAAAAAAGACTGCATTGTAATGGTTAAATTCTCAAGACCTTCAGTCCTTTGGGGATGGACTAAATGGCTTGTATAATCACTTACAAAAGTATTTTGAGCTTGACTGAACGTAGGCTGAGAAATACAGTTTATATTTTATATTTTCACCTTTTAACTCTATTTTTCCTCAAACTGCTAAAAATGCCCTTTTGCTTTCATACCAATTGAGCACAAACTAAATTCCTTTAAACAACACCCACTTATCTTAGAGTTCTGAAAATCAAAGTCTAACATGACATAGATAGATCCTCTTCTCAGGTTCCACAGGGTGAAATCAAGGTGCCAACTGGGC
The DNA here is from genome assembly GCF_000001405.40 of Homo sapiens. Classification (NCBI taxonomy): domain Eukaryota; kingdom Metazoa; phylum Chordata; class Mammalia; order Primates; family Hominidae; genus Homo; species Homo sapiens. The sequence continues at coordinate 35,846,640 of NC_000023.11, read as the reverse complement.
TATAATGCTTTTCTGAGGCTTGGGTCTTTATGTAACTGCAGAATTACCCAGTGAACCATTTTCATAAATACATCACTTCTCTGCTCAATCACAAAATCTCCCAATTAGTGGCTGACATAATTCAGAACTGGCAAAATAGATTATGTTCATATGAAGAGAAAAAAGCAACAAAGAAATCAAAGGCATGTCTGGAGAAGCAGTATGAACAGAATTGGAAATATTTCATTATGGAAGCATGAATATATCTTAAGTTACTTAAAAGTTGAATGGCACTTCCTTCAGCAAAGAAGAACTTATTAGCTACCATCCAAATAAGTGTGAGAACTATAACAAAATCTGCCCCCAATTTAAGAATGAGCAAATGTCAGGGAAGCAACCATCAATTAAGTAGAGAACAGCAATAAAAACACTAAAACCTCAGTGAATTATTTCCTTCAAACAATTATGATGGTGAGAAACTTGGTTAATATGTACTTCTGTGTCCTTATGCAAATTAGTTAATAAAATAATTCTTGTAAAATTTAATGAGCTGATGGTAGTCAGAAGGTATTTGAGGAAAATATTGAATCAGGGATCCGAGGTGAAATGTTAGAATTCAGAATTTGGTTGTTAAAGGAAGAAGCGGCCCTAAAAAATAACTGGCTGTTTTGATATCTTGTTATAAATCCCTGTTTCTGTGATCTGTCAGTTTCATTATATTCTCCTAATCAAGTTATGTATTATAAAATATAAATTTAAATTCTCATGTATTATGACTTCCTTCAGAAAGGCTTTAAGGAAAAGGTAAAGTCAGGGTGAATTAATGTAGTTGACACTAAAATAGTATATAGAATTGTACATGAAAAGAAGAGATTTGTGATTAATAACAACCTAATACCATGTTAGTACTATTATAGCTCAGGTCAGAAATAATATATTTTCAATTTCTGGATGAATTCTGAAATAATTTATATTCATTGGCACTAAGTACTCTGCAGATACTTAATTGCAACATCTATATTGAATTTAATGAGTGGTTTTCATTAACCACAGAGGATCCCTATCTCCATCATGACGACCATAAAAAATGAACAAACTTGGCCGGGTGCGGTGGCCCAGGCCTGTTATCCCAGCACTTTGGGAGGCTGAGGCGGGCAGATCATGAGGTCAGGAGTTTGAGACCAGCCTGGCCAATATGGTGAAACCCCGTCTCTACTAAATATACAAAAAATTAGCTAGGCATGGTGGTGTGCACCTGTAATCTCAGCTACTCAGGAGGCTGAGGCAGGAGAATCGCTTGAAACTGGGAGGCAGAGGTTGCAGTGAGCTGAGATCGCACCGTTGCACTCCAGCCTGGGTGACAGGGAGAGATTCCATCTCAAACAAACAAAAAAAATGAACAATCTTTTTAAAGAAACTGAAGTGGACTATTCATGATTATTTGTCTGAAGTATGACTTGGCATATTTCAGTCATCAAGGATGTTGGAAACTAGAAGTATGCAAAAAAAAAGGTTAAACAAAAAATGCTAACATATGTTTATAAATGACTGCAGCCATTTCTAGATATTATAAAGTTCTCAAACGTGATATGACTGGATCAAAAAATACAAACTTTTATACTCTCTTCTAATATATTTTTGGATCATTTTCTAGTAAGAGTTCTACTTGTTTTGTTTTGTTTTTGGGATGGAGTCTCGCTCTGTTGCCAGGCTGGAGTGCAGTGGCACGATCTCGGCTCACTGCAACCTCTGCCTCCCGAGTTCAAGCGATTCTCCTGCCTCAGCCTCCTGAGTAGCTGGGAGTACAGGTACGCGCCACTCCACCCAGCTAATTTTTGTATTTTTAGTAGAGATGGAGTTTCACCATGTTGGCCAGGATGGTCTCGATCTCTTGATCTCATTATCCTCACGTCTTGGCCTCCAAAAGTTCATGTTCATTCTATCAGGATTATTTTATAATTCCCATTTATCTGCTATCCTAAAATGTACATAAAATACATTCTGCATGTGAGAATGATTTATTTTACTCAATGTACTTGGCAGTCAGTAAGCGCTATTTTTCTGAAAACTGTTCAATGCGTTCATGAATGCATGCTACATAATGATGATAATGAGATTAGTAAAATATAGAGGACATGAGCACCAATAATACAACCCCTATTGCTTTGCAAAGTGCTTTAAATAACTTTTAACAAAATTATTTTTTGCATGGACATTCTGGTACCTTTTTTTTAAGGATTTGTGTCTCTTAGTGAAATGGTTTCCAAGGCAAAAGATCTAAGAAGTGATTCTGGAGGAGATCCCTGAACTGGGTTAGAATAACATGGCTCCAGAATTAGTTGGTCCCTGTCTTAATTTCATTTCTGCTTTTTACTACTACTGTGACCTTGCAAAACTTATATATCCTTTCTTTAGCTTCGCTCTCAATATCTATGAAGTTAAGGATAAAGATTGCAAGACTTAGTTATTAGATGAATTACAAATAATATTATATATATCATATGACATACAGTAAATAATTATGATAATTTTAAAATGGAAGAAATTATAGTCAAGATGATCCCTCAAATTATTCCACTAGAGAAACCATGTGTGCCATACTGAAAATTGACTCTTATGATATCCCTATAATAAAAATAGAATGTCCATTGATAATATACTGTTGTATAAAAAAGTAAGACTCTCTTTTTTCAATTTTTATATAAACTCTAATTTTTAGAGAGTTTTATGTTCACAGCAAAGTTGAGTGGAACAGAGAGTTTCTATATACTTTCTCCCCATCAGCATGTATAGCCTCCCTGACCACCATCATTCAGCACCAGAGTGGTACATTGGCTACAGTAGATGAAATAACATTGACGGATCATTATCAACCAGAAAGACACACATGCTCCTAAATTCATTATAGCACTATTCACAATAACAAAGACATGGAATGAACATAGATGTCTGTCAACAGTGAGCTGGATTTTAAAAATATGGTACATATATATCATAGAATACTATGCAGCCATGAAAAAAAATGTAATCATGCCCTTTGCAGGAACATGAATGAAGCTGGTGACCAGTGTCCTAAGTGAATTAACACAGAAACAGACAACCAAATACTGCACATTCTCACTTATAAGTGGGAGCCAAACACTGAGTACACATGGACACAATGATGAGAATAAAAGGTACTGGGGCCTACTTGAGGGAGACAGGTGGGAGGAGGGCAAGGGTTGAAAAACTACCTATTGGGTACTATGCTCACTACCTGGGTAATGAAATTAATTCTACACCAAATCCTAGCAGCACAAAATTTACCCATGTAACAAACCTGCACATGTACACACTAAACCTAAAATAAAAGTTGAAAAATAAAATGCCAGGAACCTGGAGGTTACTAGCTATGACTTCAGAGTTTTAAACAGAGTTTTTATTTAAAATTTTTATTTATTTATTTTGTGAAAGTTAGAGTAAAGGAATGTAATTTCTAGGAACAATCTACATAGTTATTGTTGAATAGAGTGGTGTTTGGGTTTTGCCAGAAGATTTTCTTGCTGGGAAGAGTTGAGTCCCTGGTTCTTGTCGTTCTTGGTACAAAGAATTGGGCCAAAGGACAATTTAACAAACAGCAGATAATTTATTGAAGGAAAATAAAGAGCAGGGAGTTTATTGAAGTAAATATACTTCAAGAGAAGAGTGGGTTGACCCAGCTGGGAGACACAGCAGTAGCAGCAAGAATTAAGTGGTAGCAGAGTTTATTTAAAGAGGCAGTTGGGGCTGCTTGAAAGAGAATGAGCCAGCAGCTCTGACAGTTCCGTTTTGTGGCTTTTATTATGTTGGACTCTTTAGGTTCCTGCCTCTTTGTTTAGTTTAGTTTCCTGCTTCTGCCTTAAGTCCTCAGCTTCCCCCTCTCCTCGGCAACCCCGCCTAGTTCCTATCCCATGTTATTTTGGGTGGTCTCTGGGTGTGAGATTTCCCAGATCTTCTTTTCTCAGGGCCTTCTCCTCCTGCTCATTTGCCTACTCTGACAACTTCATTCTTGAGCTTTTGGGTTTCATTTATATAATATCCCAAAACTTGATTATTTCTGGGCAGCCCTGTTTTTACTGCATTTCTCCACAAATCTTTATGGTGTTTCTATGCAAAAATGATTACAAACACCTCTAACAGAAATATCTACTTACATCTCTTTGGAAATTTAGAACTAAAATACATTGTATGCTTCTGTAAATTTTGTTCTCAATAGACTTTTCAAAATATACATCCTCAAAAAAAAAAAAAATGGCTTCATTTCTCCACTGATTACCACTTCCCTTCTTCAGTTTTAGGGGTTAAAAAAAAATCTCAGGCTGAACAGAGAGAAATTAAAGCAAAAATGCATAATGTTTCTGCAAAATAAACCATTCTTTTTATGTAAATTAATTGAGAAGGATAATTGTTTTTGAGGAGCCTGCAGGCTATGAGGCAACTCTACTTTAGCTGTGGCATTGTCACTATGCTGGCCATGTGACATAAGTAGGAGAGCCAGGACCCTGTTCATTGGTACTATGCTGGCCATGTGACATAAGTAGGAGAGTCAGGTCCCCGTTCATTGGTACTATGCTAAGCCCCTGTGGCCTAGTCCAAAGGGTGTGACTCAGGCTCAGAACTTTATATCTCCTTTTGTTACTTCTACTACAGAATGAGCTAATAGTCATTTTCAAGTGTTGGTAATATGAGTCATTAGGTAACTTTATGGAACACTGAATCCCTTATTGGAGTCATAGATTTATTCATTTAGCTATTGATAAATATCTAACACGTTTTATTTTTAATGAACTATTTGTTGACTAAGTAGTTAAAACTTTGGACTTATGCTTGCTTTCCATTTTAATTAATGTTTTAAAATTTTATTTCTTTATGATTTTTACTTAAAACATGCCTGTGAGTTCCTGTTTACCTAAGAAATATAATTTTGTTGTTATAGTTATTACTATCTTTAAAGTCTTAAGTAAACAAGCATGTACAGATGTATTTCTTCAGCTATACAAGGTAATACTTCTAATTGTGTTTAAAGCTGTTTTTTTTTTTGCTTGATTCACATGAAAAATATATTAGTTGAAGGATAGACAATGCTGCTGTAAAATAGACACAAAATCAAGTGGTTTGAATAAGACAGAAATTTCTTTTTCATAGAGCTCTCAAAAAGTGAATGGTTCAGGCATAGCAGTGAATCTCCGCTATTTCAGTGCTAGGCTTTCATATATGGGTTCTGTGGGGGCCAAGACTCTTGTCCCCTAAGGTTTCACTAAAAAATTACTGACATAAGGCAGATTGATTAATAGGAGAAAAAGTGTACAAATTTATTTAATTTGTATACAATGGAGCCTTCAGAATGAAGAACCAACTTCCCAGTGGTTATAGAAACATATATTACACCATCTTAAGATTACAGTAAGAATAGGGATTTTGATCCTGGCAAGAGGTTATGGGTTAGGGGAGAAGAGGAATTGAGGGGCGATAAATCATTGTGAGGGGGAATGATTAGATCAGAAAACAGAGATTAACTTGTAAATAGTTTTCTTTGGCATTTTAATGATTCTCAAAGACAGTCATTATAAATCTAAAAAGATCCACTCAGAGGCGGTCACATCTTGGTCTTCTTTTCTCCAACAGATGATGAGATAACAGGAAGAGAAAGAAAAAACAGTTGTTCTTCTTAGTGAGTCTGGATCCTAGAAAGATAAAGGAACTTCAACTTATTTGGGCAAGACTGTGGAGAGAGGGGGAGGAGGAGTGTGAGAACTTGAGGCTTCTTTTGTTCAGCACGTTAAAATGCTACATTTTTAAATGTAGTATTTTAAATGTAGCATTGTAAAATGCTACTTTTTTTGTTGTTTGTTTGTTTTTGAGACTGAGTCTCACTCTGTGGCCCAGGCTGGAGTGCAGTGGCGAGATATTGGCTCACTGCAACCTCCACCTCCCAGGTTCAAGCAATTCTCATGCCTCAGCCTCCCAAGTAGCTGGGATTACAGGCACCTGCCACCATGCCCAGCTATTTTTTGTAGAAACGGGGTTTTGCCATATTGGCCGGGCTGGTCTCAAACTCCTGACCTCAGGTGATCTGCCTGCCTCGGCCTCTCAAAGTGCTGGGATTACAGGCATGAGCCACCACGCCTGGCCAAAATGCTATATTTTAGGGTATTGGTTTCTGGGCCCCCAAAATAGTAGGTTTTCAATTAGTATTTATTTAATGAATTTACTCAGCAAGTGCAGTGAACTAGGCCGTATATTTAAACCACCTTTCCAGAATCATAAATAATGAAAGAAATCTAACATGACTGACTTCATCTTCCTTCTAATCTTACAGGCTAAATAATAATAATAATAATAATAATAATTGCTTATTGTAGCACAAATGCTAAGATAACTATGAGAGGGAATTGGTTTATTGTTAAACTTGGAGGCAAGAAAAATGCCCCTTTTGTTGTCTGGAGACTGAAGCTTAATTCTTAACACAGGTTAAAATTATGGTAGGTGCTTGAACTTTGCTAAAGAATAGACATAGTTAAAAACGACCTGCCATTGCTTAATATGTTTTCCTATAAGTTGCTGGCTGTCCCAAAGTCACACAACCTGGGTTGTAAAATTTATAACTTCCCCCAACTACTTCTATAGATATCTTCACTATTGTGAAAACTGAAGAACTGATCTTTGAGATGTTTTCAGATTCAGCATTTTGGCACCACCTGGTGAACCACAACCTCTTCTAGGAACCAACTAAGCTGCACAAAGACAGTTTAAGATGCTCCTGAGATTTCATCCCCAGCCAGTCAATTGTTCCAGTTCCCCAGCCCCTTGCCCACCCAAGTACCCTTTAAAAACCCTGGCCTCTGAATTTTCAGAGAGACAGGTTTGAGAAATTTCTCCCTGTTCTCCTTGCTTGGCTGATGCTGTGATTATTAAACTCTTTCTTTTCTGCCACACATGACAGTAGGCAAGAAGAGCTCATCAGGCTGTAACAAATTTGGGGGCTCTTCCAGTATCTGCCCTAAGGGTGTTTACTCTCAGTTTGGCGGCCCCTTGCCAATGGAGTGGACCAGGAGGCAAGCCACAGCAGCTGTGCAGCTCTTTTGAACTGAAGGCTGCACCTGGCACTGTTCTTACTGGTGTGGTTGACCTATTGTGTCTTAACTTCCTTGCAGTGAAAAAAGTTTATGGAATTGGAAGATATGCTTTGGGATTTTGAGGTGAGCATTCTAAGTGCAATCAACATCCCTTCCCTTCTCCTGATTCCATAGCCTCCCAGAGGCATCAGGACTCCCTTACAAGTCTTGGATTGGCCCTCCCTAGATTGTAGGGAGGGTCTTGACTTGACGAAATATTCCTCAATTGGATGAAAAACAGGAAGCATGTTTGGAAGAAAACCCTTGGGAAATTTTGGTTTGGAGCTCTGTCTTGAAAGGTCTTTTGGTTGTCTTTGGCACCTTAGTGTCTGTGTTTTGTAATGTGTATATTACTCACTGCCAGAATAGAAAATGTTAATTTGGTTCACCTATGCAGCCTGCTGGCTGCAATGGAGACCACCCCATGCTGTGGCCTAGTGGTTACATTTTGTGTTGTCACAGTGACAGTCTGGGTTCAATTACCAACACAAGAAATGAATTCTTTCTGTTTTGATATTTATGCTACTTTTGAAATATCAGCTGTTTGTCCCAGCTAAGATCTGGTAATATTTGAAAAGATTTATCTTTAAGAGCTCTATAGTTAAATGCCAACTTAATTATAATTGATATAGATCTCTGTGTGTATGTGTATATTATAAAATTATATATATAGTTATACACACACACACATATAATTTTAAGGCCTCTCTTCTATTTCTGAGAAAGAAGAAAAAAATTCTTAGTCACTTAAAAATTCTGTCTGTTTTTCAATTTACAACTGTCTGTCCATCCTTCTTCGTGCCACCCTCAATGCCCACATGAGAGGACCTAAAATAATTTCTAACAGCCTGGGATCCCTTGGGGGGAAAAAAAAACCAGAAACCCCCCCTCCCTAAATCCAGTAATCTACTTAAGAAACAAGTTAAGTTAAAAAGCCAAAATACAACTTCCTGATAGTTAGTTTGCAAATGCATCTTATAACTCTATAAGATATGCTTCTGTCTGTGTGTTTATATATGTCACGTGTGTGTAATATTTTACTACCAAAGTACATGAAAGAGCTCTAAGTAATTTCCTTAAAAGGAAAGAATAGACACTTAAATAAAATATTTTATCAGAAAAATAAAAAACTTTAAATGAAATGCCTTCTGGTTCATGTGACTTTAGTGGTCTCTGGAAAATAAAGACAATTTAAAAATTATTGGCAAAATTAAATGGTCTTCAAAACTTAGACATGTGGTCTGAATTAGGCAGGTCAGATACTGTCTTTGGTAGATGTTTTAAGGTTACAAACTGATTCTAAACATTTTTGATAATTGTTTTGACTTGTCTATTTTACAACTATTAAATTCTAGGTAAGGCCTGGGGTCATGTGGAGGTAGCCATGTCCTCTGGTTGTAACACAAAGAGTCACACATTGTACACAACTCTGCCCTTGTCCTGCACTCTGCAAACTGACAGATGGTTAAAATTGCTTACTTACCAGGTTTTTCACTGAAAATAAAAGTTGTTAAGAGTTAACATTGTAACATATGTAATTGAGACTACTGGAGAAACATTTTTATATATAAGATGTAAAAGGACAGTAAAATGTGTTTGATAAAATCTTAGAAGAAAACACGGAAATCAATATCATTAATTTATTTTCAACAAGAGTGGCAATAATTCAATGGGAGAAAGAATAGACTCTTCAAGGAATGTTGCTGGGACAACTGATATTCATATAGAAAAGAATGAAGTTCAACCCTTCCCTCAAACCATATATAAAAATTAACTAAAATAGATCAAAGATCTAAATACAATAGTAAAACTCTAAGACTCCTAAAGAAAAATAGGAACTATTCCTTATGACGATGGTTTGACAATGCATTATTAGAGATGACACTAAATTCATGAGCAACTAAAGAAAGCATAGATAAAATGGATTTTATTAAAATGAGACATTTTTGTACATCAAAGTGCACTATCAAGAGTATGAAAAAACAATCCACGGAATGGGAGAAAATATTTGCAAGTCATATGTCTGATAATGGCCTAGTATACTGAATATGTAGAAAAAACCTTTATTTCAACAATAAAAAGGCAAAAATACCAACTAAAAATGGGCAAAAGACTTGAATAGACATTTCTCAAAAAAGAGATATACAAATTGCCAAAAAAACCCCCAAAACATGAAAAGATGCTTAACAGCATTTGCCACTGGGGACACAAAGAGATACCACTTCACACCCAGCAGGGTGCATATAATAAATTTATTTTAAAAGCAACAAAACCACACCAAAAAAAAACCAAAAATCACAAGTATTGGTGAGGATGTAGAGAAATTGTCATCCTCATACATTGTTGCTGGAAATGTAAAAAGGTGCATCAGTCTGTAAGTTTTGATATTTTCACAAAAAGTCAATAATAGAATTACCATATGCCTCAGCAATTATATTTCTAGGTATATACCCAAGAGAATTGAAAACAAGAGTTCAAACAAAAAGTTGTACATGAATGTTCATAACATCATTATTTGCAATAGACAAAAATGTAGAAACAATACAACTGATTAATAAAGTGCAATGAATTCATATAATGGAATATTATTCAATTATGAAAAGGAATGGAGGCCGGGCGTGGTGGCTCATGCCTGTAATCCCAGCACTTTGGGAGGCCGAGGTGGGTGGATCACCTAAGGTCGGGAGTTCAAGACCAGCCTGACCAACGTGGAGAAACCCCATCTCTACTAAAAATACAAAATTAGCCGGGCAAGGTGGCACATGCCTGTAATCCCAGCTACTCGGGAGGCTGAGGCAGAAGAATCGCTTGAACCTGGGAGGCGGAGGTTGCAATGAGCCGAAATCTGCACCATTGCACTCCAGCCTTGGCAACAAGTGTGAAATTCTGTCTCAAAAAAATAAATAAATAAAAATAAAAATAAATAAAAAATAAATAAAAGGAATGGAATACTGATACATGTTCTAGTGTGGATCAACCTTGAAAATATGCTAAGTAAAAGAATTTAAAACACCAAAGGACACATAATTTATAATTCAATTTATATGAAATTCATAGTTAGAAAATACAAATTACTGCTTGCAAGAAGCTGGATGAGGGGAGAATGTGAAGTGACTGATGAGTATGACTTGTCTTTGAGTGTCACAAATATTCTTCAACTGGATGTTGATGATGGTTCTACAACATTCTTAATGTATTAAAAGCTAATGAATTGTACACTTTAAAATGATTGAATTTTAAAATGGTAAATTTTGTTATTCGAATTTTATCTTGGTAAAAAATAATTAACAAAAAATCAAAGAACAGTTTCACACATACTAGGTGTCTCTCATTTAGAGATATAAGAATAATAAACATCAACAAGTCAACATTATTTGGCAAGGTACTGCACCAGCACAATATCTATGATAAGAAGGCATTGGATTAAAATTAGACATTTCATATGCTTTACTAAACCATAGGACCTATCAGGAATTCAGACAGGAAAATTGGAAAAGTGTCATAATTATAATAAAATTATGATTTATTGTTGAGAATGCCTAGAAATGGCAGGAGATACAGAATAATATTACAGATAAGATTAGCTATAAAATGGCTGATATTTAAAATATACATTTATATATAAAAGAACCAACATATATAAAATTAGGATGACTCTTAGCTTTATTGGAGTTCTTCATAGCATCCCTGTGCACTTCAAATATGACTCTAGTCATAAAAATTGACTCATCACAGATTTTTCAGAATAATCATATGTAATAAGAGATAAATCTGCAGTTTCCATCTAAACATAAAGACAAGGAGACCAGATAACTCTCTGACCTTTTCTTTGTATTGCAATGAGATCTGTTTCTCTCTCTCTCTGTGTCTCTCTCTCTCTTTAAATGTTTGCTTTATTTTGGCACAAGCCATGTAGAATATGTTAGGTAAAATTCATTCACAGCCAGAATTGTCATAGTTACATTTTATGACATCAATTTCAATATATATGCCATTAACATAAATTTAACTGTGTGTTAATTAAAGAGCCCAGCTGTGTTGGCAAGATGCCAGTTGAAGACATCATGGATTGCATTAAAAAATAAAATGAGATAGTTCAGAATTTTTGTTCAATGGACATTTTAAAACATTGTAAAATGAGTTCTGTATGAACATTTCTGCTTTACTAAAAACCAAATATAGTTCCAATGACATAAGGTAAAAAATCCTTAAATCAGATCTGTGGCCAACATCTGCTAAATCTTGCTCATTTTAAAGTATAACCATATAGAACCGTTAGAAACATTAGTGATGACTACTTAGAGTACACGAATGGACTTTTAATAGATGAGATTAGTATATTTACTGAATTCCAGCTTTAAATATTAAACACATGATGCACCTTCATGTAAATAGAACTGTGTTATTTAAATACGTCTGTTTGTCTTAGTAGATACTGAGGTGAAAATTAGTGTAAGACTAGAACTTGTAGTAATTTAACCCAAAATATACACCATAGACTTCATACATAGACTCACTGGAGGATGCTTGTTAAAATGCAATTCTCAGGCTTTATTCAGAATGGTCTAAATCACAACTTCTAGGATTCTTTCTTTGGGTTTTGTTTTGTTTTGTTTGAGACAGAGGATCTCTCCGTCACCCAGGCTGGAGTGCAGTGGCGTGATGTCGGCTCACTGCAGTCTCTGCCTCCCGGGTTCAAGTGATTCTCCTGCCTCAGCCTCCCAAGTAGCTGGGATTACAGGCGCCTGCCACCACGCCCAGGTAATTTTTGTGTTTTTAGTAGAGACAGGGTTTCACCATGTTGGCCAGGCTGGTCTCGAACTCCTTACCTCAAGTGATCTGCCTGCCTCAGCCTCCCAAAGTGCTGGGATTACAGGCCTGAGCCACCACACCCGGCCAGAACTTCTGGGATTCTTACCTGATAATTTTCTCTTTATCAAATTTGCCATTGGATTCTTGTACACATCAAAGTTTGAGAACCACTCCCCTCCATCCCCCTAGGTATATATATGGCAGCTTTATCTCTGTCTCTTTAAACATCTCTTCCTTCACTTATTCTAAATCAGCCACAATATTCCTAGTGTGTTTTGCTGCTGATAATCTCCTTTAGCTTGGGCTCATGTTACGAATTTCATGAGAAGATGGAAAATTATTGTTTTTTCTTCTTAACATAATTTTGGAAGAAAGGGTTTACATTTTCCTTAGAACTAAAGGTGTTAACAATCCCCTTATTAAACGGACTGAGACCACACAGTACTTCAAGAATAAAAGTGGACACTGGAATCCACTTTGCAAATTCTCTAAAGGTGATAGGGAATAAAACACTCTAGAGGCATCCTTTTCAGCAGAAGGTTTTAGGACTGAAATGTAATTTTGCTTAGAAGCATCTAGGGTTAGAGCTGTATACCAAGATATAACTGCTTAGAATTAATAGAAAACTCAAAAACTCTTGTTCACAAATGTGTTCTAAGGAACCAAAGACATTTAAAGAAATCCACTGTTGCTACATCATTCTCTCGTGTTCTCATTTATTTTAAATCCACTGGTGTAACTGTTTTAACTGCACTTCCAGTTTTTTGGGCCAAGTGATTATCTCCAACTTTATGTTCCTCTGCTTTGTAATTTTCTCTTCCAACTTTTTCTTATGACCAAAAGCTTTTGACTTTCCTTTTGAAGTAGCAGGTATTTATTATCCCTTTTTCTAGTATATTTTTAGTTAATGTCTTCTATTTCAATATGATAAAATGTTTCATATGTGAGGAACTAAGCAAGGTCCTGCAGAGTCTACAAAAATGAGTAAGTTTGTCTTCGTTCTTAAACATCTCTATCAAAAAATAAAATAAAACCTGGGTAACTATAATTTATTGTATATGCTCAAAAAACTTGAAGAGAATATTTCAAATGAACACAAAGAAATCATAAACACTTGACATGGTGGTTATGCTAGTTGCCCTGGTTTGATCATTACACATTGTATACACATACTGAAATATCACTGTATATCCCATAAATATTTGTAATTATTACCTGTCAATGATAAATAATAGAAAAACCAAATAAATACCACTGCTCCCCAAACCAAAAGAAAAGGAAAAAGAAAAAGAAAACTTGGAATGAAATATTTACCTGGAAAATATACAGAAAATACAATGAATGCGAAGAGGTAGAAACAAAGAACTATAGGATTAAAGGAGGGCTGCTTGGCTGTGGAAATATTTTAAATTACCCTGGATGGGATTTTACATGTGAAGATTACATAGACATAATTTGTTTTTTTTCCTTTAAAAAAAAAACAACAGTTTTATCGAAGCATAATTTAAATATCATAAAATTCACCCATTTTAAATGCACAATTCGATGATGATTTTTAGTACATTTACAGCCATGCTACCATTGCAAATTCAGTTTTAGAACATCTCCATTAACTAAGATATCTCTCCTGCCGTTTTAGATAATTTTTTTTTATTTCCATAGGTTTTGGGGGAACAGGTTGTACTTGGATATGTGAGTAAGTTCTTTAGTGGTGATTTGTGAGATTTTGGCACACCCAGCACCCGAACAGTATATACTGAACCCAATTTGTAGTGTTTTATCCCTCATCCCCTTTCCACCTTTTCCGCCTGAGTCCCCAAAGTCCATTGTGTTATTCTTTTTTTTCTTTCTTTCTTTCTTTTGAGACAGAGTTTCACTCTATCACTCATGCTGGAGTGACTGCACTCCATGATCTTGGCTCACTGCAACCTCTGCTGGGTTCAAGCGATTCTCCTGTCTCAGCCCCCTGAGTAGCGGGGATTATAGGCATGCGCCATCATGCCCGGCTAAGTTTTTGTATTTTTAGTAGAGATGGGGTTTCACCATGTTGGCCAGGCTGGTCTCGAACTCCTTTGCATCCTCATAGCTTAGCTCCCACTTATGAGTCAGAACATACAATGTTTGGTTTTCCTACTCCTGAGTTACTTCACTTAGAATAATAATTTGAAGAAGTCAAATTATTGGAAGAGAAAACCAATGTTAAAACCAAGTACCCCAATTTTTCTAAGAAATATTTTAATTATTTCTTTCTCTTTTTCTCCCTTTTCCCCTGTTCCCTTCTTCCTACTTAGCTCTTTAGAAATGCAATTATAACCTTACACCTTCCCTTCACCAGACACTCCTTACAGGGCATGCTTATCCCACCAGGAGATAGCCTCAAGAGACAAAAGTCAGCTTACAACCAAAAGTACAACTACTTTTGTCCATGATGGAGTCAGCTCAACCACCTGATAGATAAGGCACCGAAGCTAGTCATGTAGACCCTCAGCTGTTCGCTCCCTTCCCTGTGGGCCATTCACACTAAGTCTCCTTTTAACAGCACCTGCTTTCTTCTCTAGAAGAGAAATGGTACTTTTAAAGCAGGAAAGCTGTACTTCTTCCTCTAAGCTAGCTTTGGAATACAAAGTCACTTTCTTTACGTTAGTCTTTGCTCTTGCTAATTAGACTCTGCAAGCGATGAGTGACTGAACCTGCATTTTAGTTACAATGTGAGCACAGTTATAAGTCCAGATCTAAGGAACTTCACTACTGATTGGATGAGGAGTATGAGGTAGAGTCAGAGATGTTTTTAAAACTTATGAATTGAGTCACTGGAAGGAGCGAAAGAAAGAAGCTGACTGGGGGCTGAAGATGATAAGCTCCATTTGACCATGCTGAATTGATGATAGAGCCATGTAGAGACAATTAGAAAGGTGGGAATGGGGTTGTAGTTATTGTGATGGATTTGAGAACAGTTTGATAAAGGCCAAGCAAAGTTTCTAGGATGAATATAAAGAGTGATATAAGGAATATAAGAGAAAGTTGAAGAAGACAATTCTATGAAGAATCAGCAAAGAAAAGACAGAGTGGTAGAATGAGGAAGGACATAGAAGAATAGTCTGAAAGAAGCCAAGTTGGCTTAGGCAAAGGCTTCATGATTAAGAACCCAAAAGCAAATGCAACTAAAACAACGATAAATAAATGGGACTTACTTAAACTAAAACGCTTCCGCACAGCAAAATAATAATAATAATAATAATAATCAGCAGCAGAGTTAACAGACAACCCACAGAGTGGGAGAAAATCTTAACAATCTATATATCTGACAATGGACTGATATCCAGAATCTACAAATAACTCAAGTAAATCAGCAAGAAAAACAAACAATCCCATCAAAAGGTGGGCTAATTAAATAAGTAGACAATTCTCAAAAGAAGATATACAAATGACCAACAAACATATGGAAAAATGCTCAACATCACCAATTATCAAGGAAATGCAAATCAAAGCCACAATGTGATACCACCTCACTCCTGCAAGAATGGCCATAATTGAAAAATTAAAAAAAAAAAATAGATGTTTGCATGGATGTGGTGAAAAGGGAACACTTTTACACTGTTGGTGGGAATGTAAACTAGTACAACCACTATGGAAAACAGTGTGGAGATTCCTTTAAGAATTAAAAGTAGATCTACTGTTTGATACAGTAATCCCACTACTAGGTATCTACCAAGAGGAAAATAATTCATTCTATGAAAAAGATATTTGCACATGCATTTTTGTAGCAGCACAATTTGCAATTGCAAAACTATGGAACAAACCCAAATGCCCATCAATCAACGAGTGGATAAAGAAAATGTGATCGATAGATATATAAATGGAATACTACACAGCCATAAAAAGGAACAAAATAATGGCATTTGCAGCAACCTAGATGGAATTGGAGACTATTATTCTAAGTGAAGTGACTCAGGAATGGAAAACCAAATATCTTGTGTTCTTACTCATAGGTGGGAGCTAAGCTATGAGGATGCAAAGGCATAAGAATGATACATTGGACTTTGGAGACTCAGAGGAAAGGGTAGGGGGTGGCAAGGGATAAAAGACTACACATTGGGTACAGTGTACACTGCTTGGGTGATGGGTGCACCAAAATCTCAGAAATCATCACTAAAGAACTTATTCATGTAACCAAACACCACCTCTTACCCCAAATTCTATTGAAATAAAAAAAGGAAATAAAATAAAGAGATAGTGTGTCTAAGAATGAAAAGCACAGGTTGAGAAAGTTGAGTATTAAAAAGAAGAATCACATCAAAACCCTGATTTTGGATTTATTTGGGATACTCTGTAAATTTGTTGAGACGAATACAAAGCAAGTGGTAGGAATGATAAATGCTAAAGAAATGTCGTGAATGGAGATGAACAATCTGGATGGGAAAGCATGGAGGATTTCTCTTGAAGATGAAAATTGGGGAGTAGATCTAAAAAACAATACAAAAGAGTAAAGATTGGAATGCCAAAGAATAACTCAGGGACCTAGAGGTTATTTTTAGCACACTGTTTACTTGTATACAAGGAAAACCAATAAATAGGTTGACTTCATTTAACATGAACAGAAACAGAAAGCATAAAAATCAGAGCAGAGACAAGATTTAAACACTGCAGGGGGAAGAAGTGGGTCATGCTTGCATATTATTTGGGTAAACTGATTAGTTGGTGGTGGGGAGTGTCATCTTTCTGTATATTCTATTCTAAAATAGGCCAAATGGGGCATTAATAAAGTATTTTAAGTTCTTTTTGGATTTTCCCAAAACCTTGAGAGTTTAGCAGTAGAGTCAACATGATAAGCTCTTTCTACATTACATAACAGATCTACTATATTTCTCTCATTAGAGTTTCTTAGCAATGATGTAATGCGGAAGGATCACAAGCGAGGGACTAGCTTGATAGCAGGAGGCCTGTTGGACAGTAGTAAGTAGTAAAGTTGGAAATAGTTGGCTACATGGCCCAACTATCCAGGGCTGTGAAAGCCAAGCAGATGTTTTACAACTTCATTCTGTAGGCCTTGGAGAGTCATGGGAGATGAATGAGCCTGGGACAGTATAATAAAATATGCATTTAGTCTGGCAGCAGCACTGATTGCTGACTAAAATATCTTAGCCCTGAGACTACTATAAACTTGTCCAAGAGCACAAGATACCACGCAGTAGTTTGGGGAAATATTCATTTAGTAACTAAAGATACTTGCTGGAAACCTCTTATTTTAAAAAGGCAAACAAAAACAAAAACAAAATAAGATACACATTCTGTGTTTGTGACTCCATAACATGTGGTTATTTATTCTAGGTGTGGTGCAAATAAAAATATACATATTTTTTCATTTAATAAACATCTGTTCATGTGAATAAGGGGCCTTTGTAATGCTTGCCAGTGCTTGCTCCTACACATTCATCCTTCTATTTCCAATAGCTCATTGCACTGTATATGCTTAAAACTCTTTTAGCATTAACACTATATTTAACATTTTTTACTGACTAACATTTTTTCACACCTTGCTGACCAGTATCTTCTTTAATAGATCATGCCTATCATAAGGTATCTTCAGTGCAATTCCTTTTGACCCTTTTCTTCAATTGCTACATTGGATTTCCAATGGCAATTTTATCATCCTGTAATCACCTGGTAGTTCTGAAAGCAGCAAAGAGAGCATTTTCTATTGCTAAGGTGTAATTTCCAACAAAACTAAGTATTTTCATTTGACTATACTCTTAGCAAAATCTAGCACCTGGGACATTTGGAAACGTCTGCTCAAATAACTGATGTTCTACAAAATAAATTCTTTTTATTATATTTTCCTTATGCTATTTCCACATTTTTGATGAAATAATAACTGTAATTCCCACATATGAAAATACTGCTATTATGCTATTTAGTGAAGAAGAGCTTTATGTATATTTGGTAACATTAATGTTTTATTTTTTGTACCATCTAAAGATGCCCCTGAATTTCTGCATAAAATTTAAAGTGTTCATTTTGTAATAGTTTGTTAAAGTAAGCAACATTTAGTGTTTCAGACATTCTAATGGCCTTTTAGTAGTTTTATGTATTCTTAAAATTAATATGGTGTTGAAGTCTTAAATTTATAGGCATTGATTTATTTCAAGTATGTCTAACTTTTAATTTTACTGAACTAGAAAGTAATAATTATTTGCAAAGTGTTTCTGTTTCTTCCAGAGGTGCCAAATCGTTCCTTTAAATGTCAGTAATAAATATTTATCACTGGCGTTGCAAGATTAGAACGCACAGGGACAATGGAAATAGGGTAATCTGACATTGTTACATTATATTTACACTGTTTTATTTCAGGAGAGTGACAGTCAGTCAATAGATGGATGGTGTGATTAGTGTGAAACTCAGCACTAAGTTCAGAGAAGTGCCAAAGAGACAAAATGAATGTGGAACAGAAAGGCAAACCTTCTCCAATTGACTAGAGAGGCATGGTAATAAGCTTTGATTAACAAGGCAATAGTCATGTATCCCAGAAAATGGAGGTATAAAAATAGACCAATTGTCAGACCCTATTTTCTCTCTTATATACATACTTACCTGGAATCACCAAGTATTTGAAACATGACTCCATCTGCCTGGCTCATTAAGATGTGCGAACAGTAACAAATAACTGCATTAAAGTTAACAATTTAAAAGTAGATGAGAGTTTCTATTGTAAATAAAAACTATTATCAGCATTATTTGCTAAGGCTAAATGACCACAAATAAATATAGGCAATGATTATAACTTTTTCTCCTCTTCCCCTGATCTACTACAGCAATTATTGTCTTTACCATTTAGTAGCTAATTATGTAAGGTCTTACAATAACTCTTCTGTTTTCACTTGAAACAATAGTTTTCGGTTATTTAAAAATTATCATAATGACTTTAAAAAATAATGCATACTCAATATTTAGAATTTAAAATGGCAGAAAAGTAAAAAGGATGATGTAAAAATAACCATAAATCTCACTATGCATGAATCAATTCTTAACATTAAGCAAACTGCATTGCAGGCTTATTCACTGCTTGAAGTGGGTGGATAGATAGGTGGATGGACAAATAAATAGATGGATGGATAGAAAACTAGATTTACTTTTTATAAAATGGGATTAGACTGTATCAAATCAAATGTATTAAATTTAATTCTATTAGAATCTAATAGACAAAATATTTTGAAGTTAAATTGAAGAATTACTAAACTTCATGTAACTATTTGTCACCAAAATAAACACCATAATTTAAAAATAGTTCTCAAATTTAACAAAATACATTATGAGTAATATTATAAATTATGGGTTTTTTTGTTACTATGTTTCAGTTTTATGCAGTATTGATTGACGTTCCACTATGACAGATAATGTAATAATGTAATTCTCACGTTTCACAATTTTCTACCTCCAGGGACTTTTGTGTATGAAAAATAAAATTTCATAAATTGTCAATGTTTATAACATTTACATTCTGTTTTACCAGTGTTCACCAACTATCATTTTACTATAAATTCTCCATTTTTAAAGTCTTTATGTTAATCCAATTATTCACTGGCTGGATTTCATTATTATCTTAGTTTTTCCCAAAGGACTGATAGGATCTCTAGTCTCTGACTTTTCTCTTTTTCCAAGTATTTGTCTGTTTCTATAATTGCCTGATGGGTTTATCTTGCCTGCTTCCACCCACAAAAGCAATGGCACTGAGAACAGCAGGCTTTTGCAGCAAGGAAAGAGTTTAATAATCACAGGGCCAGCCAAGCAGAAGGATGGGAGTTAATTGTCAAATCCTTCTCCCAGAAAGCTCAGAGGCTATGGTTTTTATGGATAATTTGGCAGGTAGCAGACAAGGGAACAGGTGCTACTGATTGGTTGGAAATGAAATTATAGAAGTATCCAAATTGTCTTCACATACTGAGTCAGTTTCTGGGTGGGGGTCACAGGACCAGTTGATCCAGTTACTTGGTATGAGTCATGGATCTGGGTGGAGTCAGTTGATTGCGAGAATTCAAAAGTCTGAAAGTAATCTCAAAGACCAATTAGGTTTTAACAATACTGATGTTTTCTATAGGAGCCTTTGGGGAAATTACAAATCCTGTGACCTCCAGAACAATGACTGGTTATTGTTTAACTATGCCTACATCTTAACAGAATTCAGGCCCCTCCCAATCCTAAACTTGTGGCCTTTTCACTAGTCCTATAATGATTATTTTGGTCCCCAAGCAAGAAGGGGATTAGTTCATTTTTGTTTTTAAAGTAAACAAAGGCAGATAGCTTGTGAAGTTAGAAGCAAGGTGGAGACAGTTAGGTTAGATTTCTTTTACTGTTACAATTTTTGCAAAGGCAGTTTTATTTACTTCATATATGAATTCATCATGACTGTGTATGAAATTTTGGAGTCATTGCTTTCCTCAGAGCTGTGTAGGCAGTGCCCCATTGTCGCATGACATTAAAAATGGAGGTGAAAAAGGGAGATTAACCTGATATTTTCTCGCTTGTATATAATTTGTTTTATATCGTTCTTGACTCTGTTATAATTTCAAAGTGGCTGAGGGATTCAAGAGTTTTGACATCTCTTCCAAAACATCTTTGTAAATTTGGCACAGCATTCCTTATGAAATCTATTGTGTTCTTGGTTGAAACTGAAAAAGGAAGAGATTCTTTTTAACATTCTAATATCATGTTATTTAGATTCTTTTACCTTTCTAATTAATTCTAGCTTTATCTTTTCCTTTTTAATCTCTATTTTATTCATGTTCTTATAAGTTTGTGAGAATACCTTTTTATTCTTTGGGTTGTAGGGGCCAAGAAACAAAAAAATTTCCCCTTCACCCTTTGGAGGTTTCCTGAAAATCAACAGATAAAAGGCAGATTAATAGGAAAAAAAGGTATGTAAATTTACTAATGTTGTAAACCACAAGTATCTGAGACAGGTATCAATCAATTTTAAAAGTTTATTCTGCAATACCTAGAAATACAGCTAATCAGGACGTGAAAGATTTCTGCAATGGAGAATTACAAAACACTGCTCAAAGAAATCAGAGAAGACATAAACATTGGAAAAACAGCCCATGCTCATGGATAGAAAGAATCGATGTCATTAAAATGTCCATATTGCCTAAAGCAATTTATAGATTCAATGCTATTCCTGTGAAACTACCAATAATAGTCTTCACAGAACTAGAAAAAACTATTTTAAAATTCACATGGAACCAAAAAGAGCCCCAAAGCCAAGGCAATCCTAAACAAAAAGAACAAAGCTGGAGGCATCACATTACCTAACTTCAAACTATTCTACAGGGCCACGGTAACCAAAACAGCATGGTACTGCTACAAAAACGGGCACATAGAACATAGTAGAGATCCCAGAAACACACGTAGATCCCACATCTACAACCATATGATTTTCAACAAAGCTGACAAAAACAAGCAATGGAGAAAAGACTTCCAATTCAATAAATGGTGCTGGGATAACTGGCTAGCCATATGCAGAACATTGAAGCTGGACCCCTTCCTTACACCATATACAAAAATCAACACAAGATAGATTAAAGGCTTAAATGTGAATCCCAAAACTATAAAAATCTCTGGAAGACAACCTAGGCAATACCATCTTGGACGTAGGAATGGGCAAAGATTGCATCACAAAGAAACCAAAAGCAATTGCAACAAAAGCAAAAGTTGATAAATGGGATCTAATTAAACATAAGGGTTTCTGCACAGCAAGAAAAACTATCAACAGAATAAATGAACAACCTATAGAATGGGAAAAAATTTTTTGCAAACTATGCATCTGACAAAGGTCTAATATCCAGCATCATTAAGGAACTTAAACAAATTTACAAAAGGAAAACAAACAACCCCATTAAACAGTGGGTAAAGGACATGAACAGACACTTCTCTAAAGAAGGCATACATGTGGTAAACAAGCATATTTTAAAAACCCTCAATTTTACTGATCATTAGAGAAATGCAAATCAAAACCACAATGAGATACCATCTCATACCAGTCAAAATGACTATTATTAAAAAGTCAAAAAATAACCAACGTTGGTGAGGTTGCAAAGAAAAGGGAATGCAGACACTGCAAGTGGAAGTGTAAATTAATTCAACCATTGTGAAAAGTAGTATGATCATTCCTCAAAGAGCTAAAAGCAGAAATACTATTTGCAGCAATCCCATTGCTGGGTATATAACCAGAGGAAGATAAATCATTCTACTATAAAGGCAGATGCACATATTATGTTCATTGCAGCACTATTCCCAATAGCAAAGACGTGGAATCAACCTAAATGCCCATCAATCACAGATTGGACAAAGAAAATGTGGTACTTATAAACCATGGAATACTATGCAGCCAGAAAAAAAATGACATCATGTCTTTTGTAGAATATGGATGGAGCTGGAGCCCATCATCCTTAGCAAACTAATGCAGGAACAGCAAACCAAATACTGTATGTTGTCACTTATAAGTGGGAGCTAAATGGTGAGAACTCTTGAACATAAAGAAGGGAACAACAGACAGTGGGTTCTACTTGAGAATGGAGGGTGAGAGGAGGAAGAGGAGCAGAAAAAGTAACTATTGGGTACTAGCCTTAATACCTGGATGATGAAATAATCTGTGCAACAAACCCCTGTGACATGAGTTTACCTACAGAACAAACCTTCACATGTACCCCCAATCCTAAAATAAAAGTTTTTTAAAAGGAGAAAGTTTATTTTGCCGAGGTTAAGGATGTGTCCATGACAGACACAGCCTTAGGAGGTCCTGACGACATGCATCCAGAGTGGTGAGGGTACAGCTTGCTTTTATACATTTTAGGGAAACATGAGACATCAATCAACATGTTTAAGATGTACATTGGTTTGGTCCAGAAAAGCAGGACAACTCAAAGCAGGGGCTTCCAGGTCATCCGTAGATAAGAGACAAATGGTTGCATTGTTTTGGGTCTTTGATCAGCCTTTCACTGAATACACAATTTACATGTGAGAGGGGGTTAGAGGAATAGTCACTTACACCTTCCTCTGGCTCAGCAAATCTGCATTTTTACATAAACAATAGGGCAGAGGAAACAACCAGATATGCATTTGTCTTAGGTGAGGAGAGGGATGACTTTGAGTTCTGTCCTTTGTTCCACACTTGTGAAGGTAAGCTATCAATTTACATTGCCAGGATGAAATCCAACAGAACTGTTTTAAAGTAAAGGTCTTGAGACCCACAAGGAATTTCCTTGTGGGCAAATTGTGAAGGAGGTATGTAGCATTTGTAAACCAGAAAGTATCTGAGACAAGTCTCAATCAATTTAGAAAGTTTATTTTGCTGCACTTTGGGAGGCCAAGGCGGGTGGATCACCTGAGGTCAGGAGTTCAAGACCAGCCTGACCAACATGGAGAAACCCCGTCTCTACCAAAAACACAAAATTAGCCAGGCATGGTGGCATATGCCTGTAATCCCAGCTACTTGGGAGGCTGAGGCAGGAGAACTGCTTGAACCTGGAAGGCAGAGGTTGTGGTGAGCCGAGATGGCGCCATTGCACTCCAGCCTGGGCAACAAGAGTGAAACTCCGTCTCAAAAAAAAAAAAAAAAAAAGTTTATTTTGTCAAGGTTAAGGACGAGCCCATGACACAGCCTCAGGAGGTCCTGACAACACATGCCTAAGGTGATCAGGGTACAGCTTGCTTTTATACATTTTAGAGAGACATAATACACCAATTAATACATGTAACATTTACATTGGTTTGATCTAGGGGAATGGGACAAATCGAAGTGGTGAATTCCAGCTCATTCACAGATTTAAGCATATTCTTATTGGCAATTGGCTGAAAGAGTTATTATCTACAAAAAGAATGTCTGCCTTATGGTAAGGGGTTGTGGAGACCTAGGTTTTATCATGCTGATGAAGCCTCCAAGTAGCAGGCTTTAGAAAGAATAGATTGTAAATGTTTCTTATCAGACTTGAGGTGTAAATGTTTCTTATCAGACCTAAGGTGTAAATGTTTCTTATCAGACTTAAGGTCTGTGTTGATGTTAATGCTGGAGGGATATAATGAGGCATGTCCAACCCCCACTTCCTGTCATGGCCTGAACTAGTCTTACAGGTTAAATTTTAGGGTGCTCTGACTGAGGAGAGAGTCCATTCAGATGGATCCAGGGGGCCTTCAAATTTTATTTTTGGTTTACACTTTTTTTTATCTTCTTAGCTATCATATTCAGAAATAAAATGGGAGGCAGTTTTGCCTGAAGCAGTCCTCAACTTGACTTTTCCCTTTGGCTTAGTAATTTTGGGGTTCTGAGGTTTATTTTCTTTTACAATGTCCCTGGGAGTCATACAAAGCATAAGAATTCAACCAGATGGTTGACACTTTTATACCATCTTGAGGCTACACAAAGAATGGGGGCTCAGAGCATGGGCCTTTTGGGAGGTTATGATAGTAAATCAGGTTTCAGCAGCAAAACATGTTAGGGGAGGGAGAAAAGCATACTGCCATTCATGGAGCAGGATGAATGGTTTTTCTTCTTGTGCTTATCTTTTTTTTCAGGTGGCAAACCTTTCCCAATAGCCCCATGGCTCTTCATAGATCCCATTGACCTATCACGTTCCATACTTGTGGTCAAACCAGTGTTTGGTAAAGGGAATGGAGACCACAAAAAGCAGGAACCTTAGTGAAGAAGAAGGAAGTTTGGAAGGCAAACAATGACATTTTCTTTAAGATTACAATACATCAATAGATATTGCTAGTTATAACTAGGGGCTAGTTTGAAAGCTGTTGACATCAAGAAGCCATAACATGAAATGTCTATCAGGAAGCTCTTCCTGTTATTGATGAGGAAAGCAGGGCAATCCAATCCAGTTGATTTAGTGAAGGTCATCTCACTGAGTAACAGGACTTCAATCTACTTTATTAATTTTCTACTCCACTATTTTTTTAATGTAAGTTTTTTCTCTAGTTTTTAAATTTTATCTTTTGTCTTTTGCTAGTCCAGTAGCAAACACTACCTTCAGGGAAAAAATATACCTATACAGTTACAATTCTTTGTGGTTAGATTTACATATGGAGAGAAATGACTATATTTTTGAAAGACATTTCACATTAAATTATTGTTTTAAAGGAACTTGACATATTTTGACATTTGTCTTTTTACACTTATGAGTAACTAAAGTATAATTCACTTTTTCTTTCTTTTAAATGCATCATGAAGTTATAAATGCTTTATCACTTGAAGAGCTTCATCTGGTTTCTTACTGCATTTTCTGAGATATCAATTATATTTTCCTTTGAGATAATGAATTTTTAAAATTTAAATTATTTCATTGCCATTCTGTTATATATTTTTCAAATACGTGTTTTTGAAATAAATTATTTACATTACCTATATTAGTTTAGTTGTGTTCACCAAATGAAATTCAAGACTTTTATCGTCATCAGTTTGTTCTCCTTTAATGCTAAAACCAGCCCAGTTGTCCCACAGAACTGATATTTACCGTTTTTTTTGAATTATCACGGAAGTTAACATAACCGATCTTAAAACTTGAAACATACATTTGTCTCATGTGAGTTTCTTCCTCAGGAAACCGACCCTCAGGCAAATAAATGAAACTTATCAGATCACCACATCTGATGAGAACTCATGAACCTAAAGAAGGGAACAACAGACAGTGGGTTCTACTTGAGAATGGAGGGTGAGAGGAGGAAGAGGAGCAGAAAAAGTAACGATTGGGTACTAGCCTTAATACCTGGATGATGAAATAATCTGTACAATAAACCCCTGTGACACGAGTTTACCTATAGAACAAACCTTCACATGTACCCCCAAACCTAAAAACCAAACCCCCAAACCAGACCCCTTATCCATCTTGACTGCTTCAGTACTCCCCTAATTCCTGTTTTCCCTGTCATCTCTGCTATATAAGCCCCCACTTTTAATTGGTCCAGGGGGACAGATTTGAGACTGATCTCCCATTCTCCTTGGCTGCAGCACCAATTAAAGCCTTCTTCCCTGGCAATACTCATCTCAGTGATTGGCATTCTGTGCTGTGAGCAACAGGACCTAGACTGGACCCCTGGCATTTCCCTAAGAGATATTGGTTCCCTGACTGGGATCGCATCGCTAGTGGCTCCGCTGCTGCAGGGCCAGGAGAGTTTCGGAAATCCTCCTAAGCAGCTGCCAGCCCTTTTTTGGCTAGAGGGGATTTCAGTCTCTCTCTGGCTCTGCCATTGCCAACCTCAACTGCATTTCTGAGTGTCTAGGAAGAGCAGCCTTTGAAATTTGACATCTACGTAGGAATAGGTGAGTGTTTTTTGTGGGCCTAGATAGCAGTATCTGCTCCTCTCAGTTTGGAGAATTTTGAAGTAATTTCCATTTGCAGGTTGAACAAACCCAACCAACTGCAAGAAGTAAGTACCCTGACTGCTTCAGTTTGTACATTCCTGGAGCTTGTTAGTCACTACTGCAATTAGGTTTCTTTTTTTTTGTTATATTATTATTTCCTTTTTTTGAGACGGAGTCTTGCTCTGACACCCAGGCTGGAGTGCAGTGGTGCAATCTTGGCTCACTGCAACCTCAGCCTCCCAGGTTCAAGCGATTCTCCTGCCTCAGCCTCCTGAGTAGCTGGGATTATAGGCGCATGCCACCATGCTTGGCTAATTTTTGTATTTTTAGTAGAGACGGGGTTTCACCATGTTGGCCAGGCTGGTCTCGATCTCCTGACCTCGTGATCCACCTGCCTCAGCCTCCCAAAGTGCTGGGATTACAGGCATGCATCACTGTGCCCCACCCTGATTATTGTTTCTTTATGTGTGTGTGTCACTATAGTCGTGGGAAATCAGAATTTAATCCTAGAATGCCACCCTCTTGGGTGCATTCTTCAAAATTGTTCTGCATATAGTTATGAGACAAAGGAACAAAGGAAAATGCTATTCTTATGTAATGCTATTTGGCCCCAGTGTTCTTTGGAGTCTGAGGAGGTTTGAACTTTCCACGGGTCTTTGAACTGCAGTGCTGTTACTGGTGGTAAGTCCACAGAGGTCCGCAGCAGTTTCAGTCCTTGCCTCCTCAAAGGAAAGAATTCAGCAGAGAGGCAGAAGTAGGTTTAAATCAGAGGCAAAAGTTTATCAAAGAAAGCAAACAGAGTACACTTGGAAGAAACCAAAGTGGATGACTTGAGAGATTCAAGTGCTTTGCTCAGTCCTTGGCTTGGGACTTTATACATTGGCTCATCTCCTGGGCTTCCTATTGTCCTCCCCTAATTCCTCCCTTGGGCAGGCTGTTGCTTGATTACCGCGTGTGCAGTGGCCTGTCAGCACTTGGGAGGGACTGCATGGGCATGTGTTTACTGAATTCGTGCATATGATCACTTGGGGCAATTTTCCTTTACTGGTCCAACATCCGCATAGGAAGGTCATATACCAGCCAAATTTCACCATCTTACCCCCTTTTGCATATGCATGAAACCTTATCAGCAAACGCAGTTTACTGGCTCCTGGTGTTTTCTATCTGTTGGAAGACTCCTTTTCCTCCTGGCACCAGTCTTGTCCACTTATTTCAGAAGGATAGTTTTATACTGGCATGCCCTTCAGCCAATGAGAGCCCATTTTTCAAGTTCATATCATTTAAGTAAATATTTAATAAACAAGCTGGCTTTAGGATTACTGATAAAATAAAAGTAGAAATGCCTTCAGAATTGTCAGCATACATTTTGTCTGGATTTTATATTTGTCTCTGCCAGATATTTTAATGTGTCAGAGTTTGGCACAAAAGATTATAAGACTGTAAACCAAGCCAAGAAGAAAATGATCTTTGTGTGGTTTTTTGGATAAATAAGACAAGTGTAATGTTGTTAGTTTAATGAAAACAGCTGAATCTACTGAGTTATTGGTGAAGATACTCATATGCTTAACTTTAAGGTTCCTAGATGAACACCTAATATGTACAGGTTACAAAAATAATTAACAAGAAAATAATAACTAGCTTTGTGTTATTAATTACTTATTAATTATAAGTTATTAATAACTTATCTTTGCTAATAAGTAATCTAAATAAACTATAAAAACTGAATTAAACATAAATGAGGTAAATCCTGTAGGTAAATATTTCGTGTAACTTAAAATCTGGAAAGTATTTTGAGTATTTTGCATGCTCGTTAAATGTCTGTGTCACATCCAATTAAGAAACGGTTATAATATGGAGAGGCATTTCTTTTTAAAGTTGTGGAATCTTCTCATCTACAAAATGATAACATCTAATAGATAGTATAGGATTTCTTGCTTCTTATGTTTTTCACTAAAATTTAAGGTAACTAAGAATTATAATTTTAGTTAATATATAATCCTATATATATAATTTGCCATAGAAAATATGTTCTTATTGAGAAAAAGAATAATTTTGTCTAATTCAGAAGTTATCTAAAGGTTGATTCAAATTATGGACTTAGAAAGGTTATTTATGAAATAAGGAAGAAAGAAAACAGTAAGTAGGAGTGAGAGATGTAAAAAACTTAGAGACAGATGTAAAAAACTTATGAATATAAAGATGTATTTTTCATAAGGAAGGTTATTGTTACCTGAAAAATACTGGGCTTCATTCACCTGGTGAGTAACAAGGGACTGTCTACAGGAATGCAGATTTTGATCAGTAAGAGTTTTATTACTTGGTTCAAGTAAAGAGGATACTGGAAATATTCTTCATTAACAGTGCCCGCCAGGAAAGTGACAGGAGGATCTCATGGGGTGATTGAGAGGTGAAAGCGTATGTCAATGCATGTAAAAGAGGAGCCCCAGTGGTGCAGATGCTGTGAATCATCATGTCAGCACATAGGTTGCATGTTACAGTCATAAAGTTATAGCTCCTCCCAAGATGAAGACTTTAGCATAGTAATGAGGCAAGTTCACTTGAGTTCATCTACAAGTTCTCAGGGGTATCTCAGGAGCTGACTTAAACCAAGGAGTTGACCCTATTCTACCCAGGGTTTGGGGAAGAATAGGCTTAAGGGCAGGAAGCCATAAAACAGGCTGATTGATCAGGTTAATTAAATTCCTATACCTGGAGAAACCTTCCCTGTCTGCTTATATTATAAGGAAAATAGAATAATTTTGTATGTGAAACGATCTTGTACATGAGGTTTGGATTTTGATTGTATAATCTGTTTCTTTTTAAAACTTCTCAGAATTCATATCTCAGAAGTGCAACTTTGTCGTGTCTTGCTGCATTCAATTTTTTTTTCCCCTTGAAAAGGCCTGAGATAATAACTCTCTCTTTCAACTTCTTTTGTCAGCTCCTGCAATTTTTCCTCCCTCTGGTTCTAACTGCTATTGTGGCTTGATGCTAAACTATTTATCCTGAAAGTCTAGAAAAGCAACATTTTCCTCCAGTATAACTTCATTTTGTACTCTTGGTTTTTCTTGATATGTCTAAATAGTTCATCAGGTTTGACTTTCAGGTTACTTAAATGAACTTCCCATAAGGAGAAGCAATCATGCTGCAGAAGTTCTTCCTTTGCCTTTTGGTAACTGGCCTAAGTAACAGGTCTTACATTTTATTGAGAAAGTTCCTATATCATTGCTATTAGGTTTTTAATTGCATAGGAAAACTGAAATTTAAAAGAATTAAGGCTTTTATATCCATGTAATTTTCCGTATTGCTTTTAAATTTTTTATTCTGTTAAGCTACAGGGTTTTGACTCCTGGATCTGAAAAAGGCACCAACTCCTGCTAAATCTTGAACACTGACAACAGTCAAAGCCTTGTCTTCAGATCCAGGAGAAGGCAACAATCAAAATGAACTGCTTTAATAAGACACAAGGCCAGATATTAAAGCTATTCAAACCTGCTAGGCCCAGGGATTACTGCGGAAGTGGGCACACAAGATTGTAAGGGCTGATTTTGAGGGACAAAATTAGTTGAGTTTTTCCATAAATTAAATATTAATATCAAAGGCACATTGATGCAAGACTAGCATCTGGGGCCCTGTGTTGGAATAACAGGCTTTTCTTAGAGTATTGACCTACTCTTCAATAGAAAATTGTAACAGGTCCCAAAAGGTTTATGGAAATATTACCTTGTGGTTAAACTGATAAAAATTAGATAGATTTATTCAACAGGTTTTGTAAAAATTAGCTTTAACATTAATGATACATCACACACAGGTGAGATTTGTTCTCTTTTGAACAAAATTTTCATGTAATATTAATAAGAGATAATAAAAGATTTTTGTTTACCTTTTGAGTAAACTGCAGGTAAAAGGGAAGAGAGAGACAGATTTAGTTGGCTTCATGCTTTCTTAGGTTTTATTGTTTTAGAAACTGAGTCTCATCTCTATTAAATAATAAAGGTTTCTTTTTTTTTTTTAATCTTTGAAGTATCATTTTGGCTAAATGAGTGACCTGTGATGCTATTTTGTGATATCAAATGTTTTGTACCTTTGATATTTGACAAACTTTCTAAAAGCAAAAATTTAATGTTCTAAATTCAGTCTTTTTGACTTCAAACTAATCTAATTTTTTAGATAATAGGGTCCAAGATTTTTTAGATAATAGAAACCAAAGAGAGACATATTAGGCTTTTTTTGGTATGTTAAACTTATACAGGAAGTATTGTCCAATGTAAAATAATATTTAACTTACTTTGGGTTATATTTATATAAATGTGTTATTAATATGTGTTACAAAACTGTATGAGCTTCCTAAAATTCTGATGTGTATTAGTTGTCTTAACAACATATCAAATTCTGATATGTTGCTAATATTAATTATGATGATTATGTTAAATTGTTGTATGTCACAGAAATAACCAAAATTTCTTGTCAATTGTGTCTTTAACTATGGCTGTCCTAAGACTTTTGTCTTCTACAATTATTGTTTTACTTTGATTCTTCTCAAAAAAGCAGCTTACTGGCCAGGCAAGGTAGCTCACACCTGTAATCCCAGCACTTTGGGAGGTTAAGGTGGGCAGATTGCTCGAGTTCAGGAATTCAAGATCAGCCAGGGGAACGTGATGAAACCCCATCTCTACAAAAAATTAGCTGAGCATGGTGGTGTGTGCCAATCATCACAGCTGCTCAGGAGGCTGAGGTGAGAGGATCACTTGAGCCCAGGAGGTTGAGGCTACACTGAGCCGTGATCACACCACTGCACTCCAGCCTGTGTGACAAAGTAAGATCCTTTCTCAAAAAAAAAAAAAAAAAGAAAAGAGAAAAAGAAAAAAAAATTCAGCTTTCAGTTAGCTACAGTCCAAAACCTACTTCTTTAGGGGAATTCATGAAAATAACTCTTGAGTACAGTTTTCTGGTAATATTGGAGATTGTACCATTGGACTAGAGAGAAAACTTCCAAAACTCTAATTAAAATGCTGATGTGTTCATAAAGATTGCTAACCTAATATGAAGCAGAACAAGAATTAAATGCAGGCACTGAACTAATAGAGGACTGAAATATTTTTTGTGGCTTTTTTGGTTTGAGACATTGCCAATTCATTTTGTTTTCAGAGTAAAGAAAAGATTTTTTGAGTTATTCATAACCTTTAACAATTGAGTAGAATATATATTTGAAAACAGAATTTTAAGTATATTTCTCTTTCTCTCTGCCTGATTTCCCCAGAATTCTGAAACTATTTGTGAATATGGTTAATTCACAGCAAAATAGTTATTTGCATACATTCAATAAGAATCTGCTTTTTTTTTTTTAAATGAAAGGACACAATTGGAGGCACTGGTTATTTTACCAAGGGTTTGACTGGAATGATATTTTCAAAAATGAGCAGAATTTTTTGAGAAATTGAGGTCGACTTATAGAGCTGATAAAAGTCCCTTGGAAAGACTACACAAGCTCCTTAGTAGGGTTTCTGACCTGTGGTAAGTAAATAATGTCACTTTCTGACAGGCCCAAGAATCTTGAGTTATTTTGGGAATAATATTTGGGAATTTAGTAAATTCCTCTCGAGAAGAGAGGAATTAACTAAATTCATAATGATATCTGCAGGCACAGAAAATCCTTGGCTGGACTTGAGAGGCCTTTAAAAATTTAATCTGAAATAAATTTATTTGAAATAAATTTTAAATAAAAATAAAAAGTTCCAGCAAAAACAATTTAAAAGAGACTACATGGACATTAATTATTGCTGTGCTTTATGCAAATGATCAGGCCAAGTATAATAAGACTAAAACTTATTTTTCAAATAAATTAGTCCTACTATGATTTGTCTTTGGTATAAATGGGGTACTACAGAAAGAAAAAATATGTTTAAGAAGAAAACCATAGTACACTTGCTATTAGATTAACCTTCGATTCTTGGGTGGCACCCTGATCATCCATGGTATGGAGCCTCAGTTGTTCTGCATTCAGTTATTAAAGGTTTAAGTTATCAATAAAATTTAAAGATGGATCCAGTTCTTTGAGAGATGGTTCATAGATGCATGAGGAAATGCAAACTAATGAGGAAAAAGTGAAATTCAATCTCTTGGTTATTGTTATCTATAATGGATAAAATGAAAGTAAAGAGAATACTGAATTAAGCCTTGAGCCTGGACCAAGCTCAGATATGGGTCTGTCTGAGCTCTGATTACTAGCCTCAAGCCTACCCACAAAAGGGAAAATTACACCAGGGAACCAGAAAATGCCTCTTGAAATCTATGGTTTCCAACAAGGTAGTCAATGTGGCAAAAGTGCAGAGCCAAACATTTCAATAACTATTGAAACCAGATGATATAATGTGAAAGAATTGTTCCATTTTGTAGACTGGTATAATCAGCTTCCTGAGAAACCTTTTCTAAAATGGACTATGAGAGTAACTAATTTGGAAGCAATGTCTTTGGTTTTAAATGCTGGAGAATGGAAGAGCATGTGTTGGTTGAGGCAGGACACATAATTCTCTATTGAACAATCACAGATGGGTATATAAGACTCAGACACACAGAAGGTTATTCATGAGAAAATAGCCAGCCTCATGGACTGGACACAAGTCGCTGTAAGATCTTTTTACCCTGAGAAAAGGAACTGACCAACTTCACTTATCAATGTCAAGTGGAGCACCCCAGATGAAGCAGTTGATATACTTCATATGCAAGCCATGGGCAACTGGCTTTATGTATTATATTCAGGTAAAACCAGTCCCTCTGGGATCCTTCCAGGGGAAACAGACATGGTCTTGAGAACCCTCAGATGGACTTATTCAAAGACCAGCCAAAGACCCTAGCTTTGGTATTTTTAAAATTTGAGTTATCTGTGTTATTAATCATCTCAGTGAATATGGTAAGCTGTTCCAAAATAAAGATAAATGTACCCAGATCATGGCTATCCAATAAGTGAAATGCTGACCAAATACTTGTGAGTACTTCCAGTTACAGGGGTAATGTTTTATTCTTCATTATTATCCCACGATGCCCCTCCCCAGCATAAAGCACCCAGAAAGACTGACTACCAGATTTCCCATGATTGAGAAATTGAAAAATAGAAAAGGGGGGTGAAACTGACCCAATTGTCCCATAGAACTGATATTTACTGTTTTTTTTTTCAAATAAACATAGAAGTTGACCCTCTTGGTCTTAAAACTTGAAACTTACATTTGTCTTACCTAAGTTCCTTCCTCACAAAATCGTCCCTCAGGCAAGGAGCTGAAATTAATCAGATCACCACATCCAGACAATGAGACACCAGACCTCTTATCCATCATGATTGCTTCCTTACCTTTCCCTAATTTTCCCACCTCCCTCTCTATATAACAACCCAATTTTAATTGGTTCAGGGAGATTATTTCAGATAGATCTCTGGTTCTCCTCCGCTGCAATACCAATTAAAGCCTTCGTCCTTGGTAAATACTCATTGTCTCAGCGATTGGCATTCTGTGTGGCAAATGATGGGTCCTAGACCAAACCCCGGTGTTTCAGTAACAATGTTACCTCTTGCTCCAATAAACACATTTCCCATCACCTAAGATTGATTTCTTTGGTTCACACTTGCAGGCTGGTTCATCACACAAGGCCCAGCAGGGCCACATTTCTCACTTTGAAATTAACTTCTCCTTCTCTTAATGGTTTAAAAGTAAATCTGAGAATCAAACAAAATTTAAAATATAAGTGTAAATTTTGCTGTTGGCTGGGTGTGGTGGCTCATACCTGTAATCCCAGCACTTTTGGAGGCTGAGGCAGTGCATTGCTTGAGTCCAGGAATTCAAGACCAGTTTGGGGAACATAGCAAAATCCTGTCTCAAAAAAAAAAAAAAAAGAAAGAAAGAAAGAAACCGACCAACCAACCAAACAAACAAAAACATTAGCCAGGTGTGGTGGCATGTGTCTATAGTTCCAACTACTGGGGAAGCTGAGATGGGAGAATCACCTGAGCCCAGGAGGTTGAAGCTGCAGTGAGCTGAGCCATGATTACGTCACTGCATTCCAGCCTGGGTAACAGAGAGAAACTTTATCTCAAAAAAAAAAAAATTTGATTTTTTCTGAAATAATCTCTCTATGTCTGTTGTCTAATATTGTCTCTATTGAATAAATGTGAGATAACAGAATACTGAGAAGATACTTTGGCATTAGGTGTGTCCCCATTTTCTTCAAATCATACCCAGTCTGCTTTCCTCTCTATTAGAACAGGTCACTTTCCTATTTTCTTGCTAACAACCTCCTTCTTCCTTTGGTAAGCTTTACTTCCTATTAATAAAACAAGAATGAATATACCCTTCTCTTCTTCTGCAGAAGAAGAGTATATGAGGAAGTGTAGATCCGCAGATTATCAGAGAGAACATTATTTTCCATTAATTGATGCCAAATATCACAGTCAAGTGTATTATTTCCACATGACACTTCTTTTGGTCTGCTTGGCTCTCACACTATTTGGGTTTTCAAGGTCAGACCCGGACTCTTTTTGGCAAGTGGATTATGTGTCATTAAGACATAGTAGATCTTCATTTCATGGAGTGCAGAGAACTCCTTGTACTTTGAAAATGACAGAGTTGGTGGCTGAATTGGTGGCAATGTATACATCTCTGTATTCCTGCCTCACAGCAATGTTAATACTTTGCAGGTAATAATTTTCCCCCACTACCTCTAGTCTGTTTATTTCAATTCTAGTTTATGTGATGCCAAAGTGAGCATATAGCTCTTTCCTTTCTAGAAGACCTTAGGCACTGTATAAACTGATAGAAAGAACACCCCCCTTTTCTGATACTAGCCCTTTTTTTGGCTCCAGTACATATTGTGACCATTTATTATCTCTACTATTATTTCTCTGCCTTTTTGTATTTCAGCTCAAACGCATTTCAGTCCCAATCTCTAATTTATCTTGTTTATCAGTATAATTACTTTTTCTGCTTTTTAATACAGCTTTCTTGGGAAAAGTACTTCCCCCAAATACTACTGTCTGATCTGCCTGAATTGGTATGCTTGTCATGTTATTCTTTGTTTATAAATAAGACCCCTCATCCTGGCATTCAAGCCCTTCATAATGTGGCCCCAGCACTCCTAAATCTTATCACTCATTACTTGCTTTCTCTTTTCTTATGGATGACTCAAATCATACTTCTTTTTTCCCGAAAAACACTTAGCTTACCTATCTCCTTGCCTTACACCAC
The DNA here is from genome assembly GCF_000001405.40 of Homo sapiens. Lineage (NCBI taxonomy): Eukaryota > Metazoa > Chordata > Mammalia > Primates > Hominidae > Homo > Homo sapiens. The sequence continues at coordinate 35,811,133 of NC_000023.11, read as the reverse complement.
TTTCTTTTTCTGATGGAATATAACTTTTCTCTTGCCCCAAAAACAACCTTTTCAAAATTTTAGCATACTTCAAGGCCTATTTCAAATGTCACTTCCTCCCTCGAACTTTTGTTTGAATACCTTGCCATCTTTTACCTAATAACACTGTGGTTTGTCTACTTGTCATTATTCTTTTACTGAATTATGTATTTCTTTAATGCTGGGATGCTTCTATAGAATAGTTCGCTTTTTTTTCTAACCACCTGTCACTACTGCTTCATGAAATACTAAAGTTTGGTGGAATAGATATATTCAAGGTCATTTTGTCATAAATGTAATAAGACTTAGTGGCTTCCTTAAGATCTCAGGGCTGGTTATGAGAGCTCCAAGAGTATCAAACAATAACAGTTCATGTGGACTCTACTATGATTTCCAAAATTTCTTTCCTAAAATTGGAAAGTGGCAACAAATATGTTGTAGATAAATGATAATTAAAATTATCTGGCATCTTAATGAACATCAGATATAAATAAATTAACTAATTTTAAAAAGCTTACTCCTTTTATAAATGATACCTGTAAGTATTTGAGCAGCCTGTGATGCCCAAATCTTCAGAGAAGTCAAAGTCAGACTTCAGCAAAAACACAGTAAGTTTCCTTGGTAATTACCGGAGTTCTCATCGAATTTTGAAAATAGTGATTTTCATCTTTCAACACATTCCCATTTATGGTCCATGATGCACCCTCAGCATATGTTTGACATTGTTTGCTAGATGAATCAATGAAAGAATGAGTGAATTAAAGTACCACAGGCTCACATTTAAAGACTCAAAATTTGGAGCTTACCACTTGGCAAGTTCTTCTGAATCCAAGAAAGAAACTCAATGTGTTAAGTTGTAACTGCTGACCTAATTTGAGAATTCCCTTGGGAAACTTTCCTTGAAAATATAATTATGGATCTCTCCTCCCCAGGCCCAAGCAGTGTCTTGGAGTTAGAGATGCCTGTAATAAGGTGATATTTTGGCCGGCCAGGTTTCCATTAGCAACTAGAGAAGCCAGTTTCCACTAACCCTTTACTATAACTCTGATGAATGTATAAGTTAAACATTAAAGAACTGGAGAAACTGGTGCCTGAGTACAAGGGCTGGAATGTGAAAACAAACCCATTAAGACCCTGTCTGGGATTTTTCAGACCCTAACGTCTGATCCAATGATAAAAGCATTCTTACACATACACCTGGTACCAGGGTCCACTTAAGATTAAGAAATTTTCCCAAGGCCCTAGAGAAACTTACCAGACCCCAGACCCTCGTTAAAGATTAGCTATAGATTCAGTAAAACACTCTTGCTTGTAGATGCACACCCGCATGTAGGCATATAGCTTAAATGTATATAAATCCTGAAGAAAAACTTGTAACTTTGAGTTGGTCTGGTGAATTTCCCTAACCTTCTCCCTGGGGCTGGTTACAGAAGTAAACTCTCTTATTTCCCAGTCTGTCTGCATTTTGCTGGACTGTGAGACCCAGCAGGTGGACCCTAGTTTTGTCTGAGTAATATGTGTGATGATTCCTTCATTGGGCCCCTCACATCTCATTTTCCCCTAGTCAGTTCAGAAAGGAAGAGTACAGTCTTCACAGGGTCTAACTCTGTCTGGATTGTTTTAAGAGACATGTCCATACCAAGCCCAGTATCTACAAAGAAACTGAAAACATTACTACTAGGGTAAATCCTTTCTAATTTCCTCCTTGCAGTTGGATACTGCCTTCCACTGCTCATTGGTATTTTTGATGTGTCTCAAATGTCTTTCATTACTCACTACCATTTTCATATCTCTGATCACAGTGGAGAGGGTCTACTGTACAAAGGATGAAATATCCATTTTCAGCATGAATCAAGACAGGTCCAAGTCCTGAAAAACTGGCAAGTGTTCAAACAGAGAAGTCAAGACATGTAGCTTTCCTAGAAATGACCAATAACATTACTGGATATTGCAGAAGAGACAACTATACTTTGCCTGACAGTAGACAGAGACATTCTAAAGGATGATGGGTGTCTGCAATGCCTCTGTTTTTTGTCATCCAGTAGACCTGTCCACTCTCATAACCATACCACATCTAGCTATTACTGGTGATTCAGATTCCCCAAACCTAGTCATTTGAGTTGCCCTGGACCCTCCACCCAGATCCCCCACCTTCTCTTCTAGTCCTTTCTCCATCCTACACTAAACTCTGCTGTATTAGTCCGTTTTCATGCTGCTAATAAAGACATACCCAAGACTGGGTAATTTATAAAGGAAAGAGGTTTAATGGACTCACAGTTCCACATGGCTGGGGAGGCATCATGATCATGGTGGAAGGCAAAGGAGAAGCAAAGGCACGTCTTACATGGCAGACGGCAGAGCTTGTGCAGGGGAATTCCCATTTATAAAACCATCAGATCTTGTGAGACTTAGTCACTACCACAAGAACAGTATGGGGGAAACTGCCCCCATGATTCAATTATCTCCACCTGGCCCCGCCCTTGACACTTGGGGATTATTACAATTTAGGGTGAGATTTGGGTGGGGACACAGCCAAACCACATCATCTGCATTCAGAATTGTGACTACCATCCTGCTCTGGGCTCTCTAGACTTGGTTTTGTTGATGTTCATGTGGTTCATGTGGTTCATGTGGTCTCTTTCATGAACCCTGAAAATTGATTTCCCCCTGGATCCTCATCCAATACTAAGTGTGAGTGTCTCATCTGGCCCCATTCCCTATCACCTGGTCATTCTAATTGAATCTAATTTGAGAAGCACTAAAATTAAGCATTTTGGTTTATAAAATAAAATATGTATATTTATAATATTTACATGCATTGCTTTGTGAGAATATGAATGGGTAAACATTTGGGGGATGAAATTTTTGTAATATTTATACAAATTTAAAATCTCCACACACTACCCACTTTAACCTAATTTCCACTTTGCTATCAGAATAGGCTTTAGCTTAATATTTTATGTTCAGAATATTTCAGTTCTGTAAGTTATAGCAATAAATGAGTAAACTAATTATGTGCACACTGGAAGGAGATGGCTAAATTAATCATGGCACATACATGCTACTGGGTAGTTCCACAGGTGAAGTACATCTAAATGTGTTATCATAGAAAGATCCTGCATTCATGTTATGAAGTAGCAAAATAATATGGCAAAATAATATGCACCTCACTAGCCATTATGATTAATAATCACAATATATTTTTATAGCACCTCTATGTATGAGAAACCCTAGCATTAGCTTTAAAATGATATACCCTATTTATTGTGATTATCTCTGAGGATGGATCTGAATTATGAGGGAATATCATACAGGTAGAAATTGTGACTTATCTGTATTGTTAGAATTGTTTTGTTTTTTGAGACAGAGTGTTGCTCTGTTGCCCAGGCTGGAGTGCAGTGTGATAAAAGAAAAACTTCAGTCGAATTAAATGTAAAGGAGTTTAACTGAGTAATGAATGATTCACGAATTGGGCAGCCCGCAGAATCACAGCAGATTCACAGAGACTCCAGGGATGCCTCATGGTCAGAACAAATTTATAGACAAAAAGGTAAAGTGACGTATAGGAATCAGAAGTAAGGTACAGAAACAGTGAGATTGGTTACAACTCGGCATTTGGCTTATTTGAATGCAGTTTGAACATTCTGCAGTCTATGAGTGGTTGAAGTATGGCTGCTGGGATTAGCCAACACTCAGCTTTTGTTACAGGGGCATACTACTAAGTTAGGTTTTCAGTTTTGTCTATTAAGCTAGGTTACACTTCATCCACAAGGACTCAAATATAGAAGTATGGAGTCCTTTTCAGACCATATTTAGTATCCTTTAACAAGCGGCATGATCTTGGCTCACTGCAACCTCCGCCTAGAAGGTTCAAGTGATTCTCCTACTATGTAACAAACAAGCATCACAATTATTTGTCAAAAGGACCCTGTAAATATCTACAGTATGGGCTTACCATATTTCACTCAAAAGCACCATTCTGCGCTGTTATTTTCAGTGACCACTATAATCAAAGTATACTGAGAATTTTCTCATTACTTTAGGTAAGGGTGAAGGAAATTTATTCTTCCTCCTCTGAAGGTTTGAGTCTTTAATTCTGCTGAAATAAACTGACAATGAACAGATTAACAGGAAAAACTCATAAAAATGTATTAAGGTGCAAGAGCACTGCTGTTACACAAAATATGAAATTCAAAGAAGGGCCAGGTAACTGAAGTTTTTATACCATACAGAAAGGGGTAGGGGCTTGAAGCTCCTTGAAATTATGTAAGGTTGAAGAGAAGCATGGCAAGCAAAGGCTTTCTTGTTAGGCAGATAGTGTCCTAGGTACTAGTCCTAAGAAAGAATAGATGTATCCTGTGGCAAAAGTTTCTCTGTAAGAGATTTAAAAGTTATCAGACCTTTAGCCTCCTTTTTCTGTGAGTGAATCTTTTTTACAAACTTCTTAGGCAGATAAGGGGGCCTCAGAGAAAGCCTCTGCCAAGCATCCCGTTCGCCTTACTAATGTAGATTTTTTTCTACAGGTGTAAATCTTCCCTAAGAAAGGACAGCCTTTCAGAGCTATTTTCAGAGCTATACAGCTCCTCTGACTAGCCATCTCCAAATATGTCAAAGAAATATATATTGGGGTGGCCTATTTTGGTTTCCCACAGGTGCACTGACAAAACCTTGACCTAGGATTCTCTGCTATCTATCACCTGACTAAAAATGCCTGAACATCAGCACAGGTGCAGTTATGTACAGTGAAAACCTAGATTTTTAAAAATTAATCAATTAAATATTTTTTTCTTTTTTTTTGAGACGGAGTCTCGCTTTTTTGGAGTGCAGTGGTGCGATCTTGGCTCACTGCAACCTCCACCTCCCGGATTCAAGCAATTCTCTGCCTCAGCCTCCCGAGTAGCTGGGATTACAGGCGCCTGCCATCACATCCGGCTAATTTTTGTATTCTTTGTAGAGACGGGGTTTCGCCATCTTGGCCAGGCTGGTCTTGAACTCCTGAGCTCGTGATCCACCCGCCTCGGCCTCCCAAAGTGCTGGGATTACAGGCATAAGCCACAGCGCCCAGTCAAATTAATCAATTAATATTATCCAATGGTATCATGTCTACCAAGAAATTATATTCTACTGTCTAGAAGGACTCCAGAATTTTCAGGACTTGATATACTACAGATGTTTGCATAGTTACTTTGATGATCTTTTCTCATGTGCTACTTACAGGAGAAGCTTTGGCTTTTAAGCACTAAGGTAAGCTCACTCACTGGTTTATGTGGCCAGTAGACTGTGTCAAACAAGAAATCCCATTAAAATTCTACTGCAAATATCAGGGTGGTTTTCAAAATCCTGTTTCTTGGGGATATAGCCCCAAAACTAGTAGATGCTTTGCCAAATCAGATTATAATTCACTAGCTCATTTGCAAATCATTTTGACAATGTGTTGGAGATGTTTAGTGGTGATGAACAGGTCTAAATTTCACTGTCAAAATGACCTTTTGCATTGAACAAGATATTGCTATCAGAGGGGTTTTAAAGTGAGGAATGGGCCTACCTGGGAGTTTGGATACCCTAAGTCGGGGGAAGGGAGGTGATTCTGGACGGTTTGTTCCACTGGGAGCAGGGTGCAGCCTTCAGAGGACACAGTGAGCAGCTAGTCAGCAGGTCAGGGTTCCATTTGGACAAGAGTGCACATCAGAGAAAACCCAGGGGAAGGGTGTGGTAATGCAGGAAAGAGCTAGAGCTGGATAATGCCAGCCCCTGGGCAAAGGTAACTTTAAAGGAATCCTGGGGCTAAGGGCATCAGGATCCCATGTAAATGAAGCCCACAGACAATCCTCAAATTTTATTTGGTTATCACTTTCACCTTTCTTCTTTACACCTGCTTTTGGTACTTCAGATGGAAGGACCTTTTTATCCCAAGATGCACTGTGTAGTAGTGAAAAGACAACTGAATCAAGAAAAAAGAAGACTGGCCATTAGGATGGAGAAGTGGAACAGAGTAGGCTCTAGAAGAATTCAGACCACAGGTTTAATCTCAGGTCTGTCATATATGAGACCTGTGAACTCAAGCACATGCCCAAGCTTTATGAATCTTAGATTCTTCATCCTAGGGGTGAGTTTGTTAATGCATGTGATAAAAAACTGTTGGAAAGAATGCAATGTATGAAAAGCATCAGGCGCAATGCTTGGCATATCTTGGGTCTTTAATGAAAGGCAGTTATTACCGTGATTATTTTCATCACTGACCCTACCTGCCACTAGTGATGTTTTCCAAGCTAGTATGTCTCAGAGGAGAACAAGAAGTGCTATAGAAAATGAAATATCACATCAACCAAATGCTGTTTGAAAAGTAAATCTCAGCCATTTTTTTCCATTCGGAAGTTATGTCCTTCAATCATGAGGGCGAGAGTTTCTTCTTTAGCTGATGCAACTCCTAGAACAGTTAACAAGGACCAACACCTCGCCTCCATCCAAACTACCCGTGTTTTCATTTATTTCACCCCCACCAAAAATATAAACATTCTTTAGAGTAAGTAATTAAAATATATTGAAGATAACCTATTCTAAATATCCCTTAAGTGGAGTGGTACTTGGTTCTTCTTACCCAGGGTAATGACTACCAACCCAGTGGCTTTTGTGTATTTCATCTCAAGAAAGTGTCACTGGTATCTCTCAGAAACTCCTTGAGACAATGCATGTAACAAGACTTAATTATGAACTATGTTCAGTGACATACGGATAAGAGCAGAACAGTTTCCATTCCTTCCCTGGGTGATTTGTCTCTGGTTAAACCATGATCCCAAGGTAACTGTGATGAGGAGTTTTCTACACCAGGCTTTTGGGTCTCAACTCTGAGACAAGCCATCTTGAGGTCTGATCCCTGATCACCACTCTCTCAGCCTCATCTTTCACCACACCCGAATTAAATTAAAAATTATACTCATTGAAAGAATTTTAATCTCTCAAAGCCCCAAATTTCTTTGCCTCAGGGAATCTATATTTGACAGTCTCATATGGATTCCCCCCAACTTACCTATTAACTCCTTTTATTTGTCCTTTAGATATCAGAAAATATCCCACAACCATCATTGTAAGATTTCTGTTCCTATAAGTTAGAATTATAAGGAGAGGTCCTAGGCTTTGTTCATCCTAGCATTCCAGTATTATTCTGATTATTACTAAAGAGCAAATGCTTAACTAAGGTTTGGGGAATAAAAGAGATAGTGAGGATCCTGTGCAATTTATGGAGATCTATTTCTCGGATATTTCTAAGTTAAGCAAATTAATGCATATATCATTTAATTTTACAAAACAAAAAACTAAAAGGTATTCAGTAAGAAATACATTGATCATCTTTTATCTATTTTTTATTCCAAATATTTTAAAGCAAAGTTCTTAGCAATGTCATGTCATGCTATACTAGAACACAATATAGATGGATGGTTTTCTAATCTGTTTTACAAAATTAACAAAACCTTTGCTACTAAACTGCATGCAAAACATTAAACGGATATTTAAAAGCAGAGTTCTTAGTAATGTCATGTCATCCTATATCAGAACACAATATAGATGGTTTCCCAATCTGTTTTACAAAATCAGCAAAACATATGCCACTAAACCTCATGAAAAACATTAAATGGATGACCAATATTATTCAAAACTTAAGAGATCTGGAAACTACCTAAACTTCTATTAAAAGAAACATCATCTGAATAATATAGCCATTAAAAAATAAAAGAATAAACTGTCAAGTTACACATACAAAATAGGGATATAGATGATATATACTATTTTTCCTCCAGCCCCACCCTGGACCTGCATCCTTGAACACTAACTGCCTTCTGCAAATGTTACATAAAACATCTATCCTTGTCTTCACTAGGTATGGGAGAAGCTACCAGACATAGCACTGGAACTCACAGTGGCTGTGGAAATGGAGTCAGCCCTGACTCAAATTCTGGCTCTAGCTCTCTCTTCTTCCTCTTTCAGAGCTTCCGCATACTGAGATGGGAAAGAATGTGGGTAAGACCCATGAACTTTGGCCACAAACTCCAGGACTTTCATCTTGCTGGTTTCAGCTTTGGCTCTTGGGCCCCACAGGAATTCATATCGTGCAGGATCACTGTTGGCCACCTGCTGGTACTCCAGGTACTTCTCCTTCACAAAATCTTTGGTGATGAGCATTCTGGGCTCTCCAAAGATGAAGTGCTTCTTCCCAGAATATACTCCCGTCAAATTCAGCACTTCCCAGACTTCCTCTTCAGTGGCACGGTTGCCCTTCATGAAGATCACACCCAGGACAATTATCAGGAGGCCAGTCTTGGGCACACCCTTTTCACCACTCAGCATCCCATCATAGGTGAGGCCCAGTTTGATGAAGAGGCCATAGCAATGGGTGGTGGGGTCCACCTCCACCACATCAAGGCCAAATATCATCTCTAGGTGCTCAGAAGCTCTCAGGAGGATCTCAGAGAAGTGGCTCTCATCATCTTTGATGATAATCTTCAACATATCTGCCTTTGTTATTGGCTTTTTCATCTGACACTTGTGCAGCATGAAATTCACCAAAAAAGCCACTTTCTGGTCGAGAGCATCTGCGGGCACATTCCTGGGGTCTGATGTATCCTCTGAGGAGCTTGGACTATCTTCCTCTTCTTGATTGCTGGAAGCCTCATCAGATTCACTTGATGAGGTGGTTGTGACGGCAATGGAAGAGGAGCAGAAACTCTGAGGAACCTCAAGAGGACTCTCTGCCTTAGCAGCAGGAGCTTCCTTCAGTTTGCCAGGCACTAGAGGATGGGAGGAGGAGAGGAGGGTCTTCTCCAGAGCCTTGGAGACCTGTGCAACCTCCAGGCTCTGGGTCTCACTGAAGGTCTGAAGGTGCTGATCATGTGTGCATCGTGGACTCTCCTGATCCTGAGACATGATGACCCTTGTGGGTGGCAGTAGGCAGGAGTGTGGACAGGAGGGCAGGCAATGAAGAATCACTGCCTAAGGGAGAGAGAAAGGGTGTAAATGTCCTCAGCTGGTAAACTCAACTGCGGTAGCTCTGATGGAAGCCACTGCCTATAGACTTCTCCTGACAGCAGTGTTATAGAGCCTCACAGATCTGATATTGTGTTTTCTGGGTCTACCAAGAACCTGAAGGATGAAGTGAGAATTCTCAGGGTGCAGCCAGCCAACCCAACGTGAGAATTTTTCAGGTTCACAGTAGACACTTGTAGTTGGGCTCAGTACAGCTCCTTTTGTTCTGAGGAGGGTAATGTCATCAGTTGATGGCCAGAAGTGCCAGTAACTTGGCACCTGATAGGGCCTGTGCCACTTCCCCTGTGGTAATGTGGGGCTGTGCCCCCAAGACCAAAGTCAAAAGGAAGTGTCAGGTACCTCCTCCAGTTACCCAACCTGGAGTTTACCAGGGCTGATAGCAGGACCTAGATTCTGTGAGAGGCACTGTAATGGTATGGGTAGTCCCCTCAGTTATTACTCAGGTGCCTTACTTTGAATCCAGGCTGGTCCTGGGATCCTTCCTTCTGTTAACCTAATGTTGTCCCCTCAGACAAAAGGTTCCACCTCCTCAAGACCCTGGAGGAGGTAGTGAGGTGTCACCTCCACCTAACAGCTTTACCCATACCCACTCAGGGCTGACAACAGTGCAGTACTTGAGTCTTCAGAATCCCTGCTCTTCTGGGGTGGGTGGCCCTTAGTTTTCATTCGGGCTCCTTGACTTGGCTAGTGATGGTGACTTACCAGTATACTAATGCCACTCTCCACCTTCAAGAATACCTCATCCTCCTGAGTCACCTGAGAAGGAAGTGATAAAGGACACTACCTATCTGCAATTACTGGGGATTCACAGTGTTAATAACAAAGGCTGTACACTGTGAAGCTTTCTTTGTCCTTGTGTCCTGTGTCCTTTTTCCTCTGTGGACCTTACTTGGGGTCCTTACTGTGACTTTTCACAGGCCCCGGCCTCCCTTGTCTACTGATCTGATATGATGTAGGTACACTAATCAAGAACCTCACATGACAGAAACCCTCAAAAAGGAGGAGTGGGTGCTTGTCACATGATCCCTGCCCAGTGCTCCCTGGCTGAAAAAGTTATCAGGGCTCTTTGGCGACATATATCCTGGAGTGGATTCCTATTGGTCCTTACTCTGTGTCTCTATGTTAACTCCTTGCACTTCCTGGACACCCAATCCAATGCTTATCTGAACCTTTGCCTTCATTTCAAGACTACCACCTCCATAAGACCCCAGTGTATGAAATAAGCAGGACAGGGCTCTGTGGCGATTACTCTTTTCTGGGGTGAGTGTTCCCATCGGCCTCACTTAATGTCCTTCCCTTGACTAATGGAAGCATCTGGGACCTGATATCACTTCCTTAGACCAAAACCTTTGTTATCCTGAGTTCACTGAACAGGAAATAAGTAGATATCTCATCCTGACAGCCCTGCCCAGAGCCTCCCACAACCGACAGCAGGGCTAAGCAGGGCTACGTTCTGTCCTCATTATCTGGGATGGGTGGTTCCCTGAGACCTCACTCAGGGTCCTTACTTTGACTACTGGTTGGGCTTCAGTCCCCATCTTCTGATAGCTAATGCCACTCCTGCCGAAAAAAGAAAAATCTCATCTCCCTGTGGCAACTGTAAAGGAAGAGATTAGACATCTCTCAGTCTTAAGTCTGTGTCTTCACCTAACCTCTCGGTACCCCTTATGCACCTACCCCTATATTGACTTGAGGCTGCTATTCAGACCATGACACTCACTTCCTGAGACCCCTGAAGATGAAGACAGTATGGAAATTCTTCCCACTCCTGCCTTGGACTTCCAAGGGCTGAACTCAGAGGCAGAGTGGAGCTCATGGAGATCCCAAATGTACTGGAATGGGTGTCCCCTTCATCTATACTCAATGTCTACAATTTGGCTCCAGGCACTGCGAGAGACTCCTCCTCTCTGCTGGCCTGATGTTCCCTCCTTATGCTAAAGATTCACCCCTCAGTGACTACCAAGGATGTGAGGGGACACTTCATCTAGATATCCAGCCTCCTATGACTGACACCATGGGTGGAGACTGTGGGGCCACCTATGTTCTGGGGTGGGTTCTTCTCTCAGTCCTAAGTCCACATCCTTACTTTGAATCATTTAAGCACCCGGGAATCTTCCCTCTGATGGCCTTACTTAGCTCCCTCAAACCAAGGCCTACACTTGCCCAAAACCAAAAAGGATGACATGAAGTTGTCTGACTGGTGGGCCCCCATATCAGGGGTCTCCGAGGGCTGACCAAAGGGACAGAGAACAGCCCCATGGTAACACCCTGTTCCAGAATATGTGGCCCAGATCTTTTTCATGGTCTGGGACTTATCCTTCTGACTTAAGTTTTCCCTCACAATAAGACCTCCTTCTCACTGAACACCATAGAGGAGTGTGTGGATGTCTCATCTGGCTATCTCTGTTTGGGTCTCCCAAACATTCCCTGTGACTTGTGGGTCTACAGTTTTATGCAGTGTATTTTCCCTTCTGACAGAACTCAATGAAACCTGCCAAGGCCTGGAACTCCTTCTGCTGGCCTGATGTAATATACTCAGACAAAACCTTCACTTCCCTAAGACCCCAGGAGAAAATTAGCAGTATCTTCAGTTTGACACCCCTAGGGTGAGTCTCCCAGGGAGGGGAAAAGCTCCTTGGATCCTTCTCTGTCATCAGTTGGCTAATCCCATAATTCTCACACGGGGTCCCCATATTGGAAACTAGTTGGTAATGTGTTCCCTCCAGTCGGCTAACTGATGCTGCCCCCTTCCAACCAAGACTTCATCTCTATGAGATACCCACAAAGGAAATGAGCAAACGCCTCACGAACGGACACCCAAAAATGACAACATGGCCTAGGCACTGTGGCACAACCTCTTTTGTGGAGCCTGCAGAACCTTAAAACTCATTCAGAGGCCGGGCGCAGTGGCTCATGCCTGTAATCCCAGCACTTTGGAAGGCCGAGGCAGGTGGATCACGAGGTCAGGAGATCGAGACCATCCTGGCTAAAACGGTGAAACCCCGTCTCTACTAAAAATACAAAAAAAAAAAAAAAAAATTAGCCGCGCATGGTGGCGGGCACCTGTAGTCCCAGCTACTCAGGAAGCTGAGGCAGGAGAACTGCGTGAACCCGGGAGGCGGAGCTTGCAGTGAGCCGAGATCACACCACTGCACTCCAGCCTGGGCAACAGAGAGAGACTCCGTCTCAAAAAAAACAAAACAAAAGAAACTCAGGGTCCTCACCTGGACTCCTGCAGGGCCTGAGATGCCTTCCTCTGCCGACACGACACTGCCTATATCAGACTAAAGCTTCACCTCCTTCAGACTCCGCAGGCGGAAGTCAGTAAGCAACACTTCCGGCTGCCCTTGCCCCCAAGCCTTGCAGGGCTGACAAACAGGCCGGCCCTCACTCAGTGTGTCCGCCAATGTTCTATTGTGAGTGATCTCTGGTGATCGACTCAGCACTCACTCAAGGGCTTTTTTCTTTTTTAACTCTCGGCAAATCTAAGGACTCTTACCCTTGCCCAAATAAGGACTTCACCTTAATCAGATTCCCGAGGGAGAAATGTGGGGTGGGTTCAGCCTGAAAGTCCAGCCCACGGCCTCCCAGAGTTGACTGCAGGGCCTGGGGCTCTTATCTGCAGGGCGCTCTATTTCCCTCAGTCTCAGAGTTTTACCTCGACACCTGACAGTGCCTGCAGCGACTCGTTCCTCTGATGACTAGGGTGCACCTTCCTCAGATAAGGTCGTCACAGTCCTCGGACTCAGAAGAGGAAATCCGGGGCGTCACATCCAGTTACCCCAGACGGAGGCCTCGCAGGACCAACAAAAGGGGCGGGGCGGGGCGGGGTGGAAAGCGTGAAGCGCCCTGTTCACTCCGATATTGAATATGCTGTTAATTTAGTTAGGATATTGTCTAATTGTGAATAGCCTTGGTTCAAGTCCCCTTTACTTGGACCACCTTTATCTGGTTTTTCTATCAAAAAATGTTCACTTGTAAAAATATTTTGAATAATTTCAAATCTTTTTGGATCTTTTGGATGAGTTTCCATAAGATACTATTTTTTTTTTTTTGAGATGGAGTCTCGCTCTGTAACCGTGGCAGGAGTGCAGTGGCATGATCTTGGCTCACTGCAACCTCTGCCTCCCGGGTTCAAGTGATTCTCCTGCCTCAGCCTCCCGAGTAGCTGGGATTACAGGCGTGCGCTACCATGCCCGTCTAACTTTTGTATTTTTAGTAGAGACGGGGTTTCACCATGTTGGTCAGGCTGGTCTTGAACTCCTGACCTAGTGATCTGGCCGCCTCGGCCTCATAAAGTGCTGGGATTACAGACGTGACCCGTACACTAATTTTTTTCCTCTGAATAGATAGTGCAACTGGCCTTCAAACCTAACTGGTTTTCAAACTGTTTGAGGATGGCTTGATCTTTGACTACAGTTTCAGTTTGTGTTGTTTGACTATATTTCTGTATGTTTTATGAACCTATTTATTCCTTTAGATTTTGCTAAAAATTAGTTCATTTCACTTGGGTTTTCAACTTGAAGGACATAATATTTATAGTAAAATGGTTTATGATACAAATTCTTAAACATATGCAATAGTAGAAATGATAGTACAATGAACCCAATATACTTGACATTTCCCATGTCATCAGTAGTTAATGGTAGCAGCTTGTTCAGATTAAGAATTTGTTCTTTGGCAAAACCACTCCAAAGATTATTCTTTGTACTTTCATTGGGTATACCCAATGCCTGTGTACAGGTCTCCCTTTTTGGTGACATTGGCAGTGCTGAAGATCATGACTTTTATCCATTATCTATAATATTAGGGGCTATACAAGGATAATTATCTCATTCTATTATTCATTCCTAGCTTACTAACTGAAATTCTACTATAGGTACAAACCTTTCCTTATCCACCAGTTGGTTATTCTGAGATAATGGTATACAGTTATTTTATATTTGAATCTCTTCTGCACCTATATTTTGTATAATATCATTGAATATAATAATTTCTGCTTTTTGTAATTAATATTTATAAAATGATATTATATATATATTTCATGTAACTAGAGCAAGAAGGAGAAAATTGCTGACCCCTCCGATTTCTGTGTACTCTAATCTCCTACTGTTGCCTCCTGTTGCAGAACCCAGTTGGCATTCAGATGTGGGGGAGCCTAGGGATTGAGAGGCTCTGTATAGTAGAGAAAGAGCAGAGCAAGGGTAAAGAATGGATCTGAGACAAATAGGTTCAGTATTGGCATACCACTTAACAGATTAAATGACAAAAATTATATGCAAATTTAGAGAAAAAATCGTTCATAAAAATAGTCATCACTCATTCATTATAAAAAATATATTTTCTTAAACTAGATCAAGGACATCTACAAAAGAGCCCTACAGTAAAAATCATACTTCATGTAAAAATATTAAAAACTTTTACATTAAAATTGAGAAGTAGGCAAAGATTCCTGTTATCACCATTTCTATTCTTTATTGTAATGAAGATAATAAAGTAATGGGAAACAGAGGCAATCAAAGAGATTGGGATTGGAAAATAAGGAACAGTGTTTCTGTCATTAAACATGAATAGAATGTATATGAGGAAAATCTACTAAAGAAAAACTATTAAAGCAATAAAAGTATTTTTAAAGGTTCCTGGGTATAATATTAATATGCAAAAATACTCTTTTTTCTGTACCAATTGATAGCATGAAGATTAAATTAAATAAAATATAACTTGTAAGTTACAATAACAAAATACCCAGTTCCTAAAAGTAAATATAATTTGTAAAGTATAAAAATTCTATGGAGGCCGGGCGCAGTGGTTCATGCCTGTAATCCCAGCACTTTGGGAGGCCAAGGTGGGAAGATCATCTGAGGTCAGGAGTTCGAGACCAGCCTGACCATCATGGAGAAACCCCATCTCTACTAAAAAAAAATACAAAATTAGGTGGGCATGGTGGCGCATGCCTGTAATCCCAGCTACTCGGGAGGCTGAGGCAGGAGAATTGCTTGAACCTGAGAGGTGGAGGTTCTTTTGAGCGAATATCACGCCATTGCACTCCAGTCTGGGCAACAAGAGTGAACCTCCATCTCAAAAAAATAAAAAAAAAAAAATTCTGTGGAAGAGTTATACAGCTATTATTTAGAGAAATTTCTAAAGATCTAATTGGAGAAATATAATACCATCTTAGATAGAAGACTCAATATTGTAAACATGTTAATTCTCCCCAAATTTTTTCTACTGATGAGTATAATCCTTTTCTTGCAATAAAGTCACGTAGTTGTTGTTCGTGAATGACTGTGTATATGTGCATATGTGTGTCAAACTTCACAAGCTGATTCTAAAATATAAATAGACTTGCAAATGGCTAAGAACAGACAGTATACACTTGAGAAAGAAAAAGAAGATATGATATTAAGGATTATTAAAACATATAGTAAATAACAGTTTTTAGTAAAGATGCAGGCATAGTCGCGTAGACCAAAGAAACTGAATAGAGAGTGTCAAAACATACCTGTTATACAAGGTCTCCTGATTTGTTAAAAATATGCCACTACAAATAAATGGGGGAAAGAACAGTGTTTTTACTAAGAAATGACAATGGAACAATTTGATATCCATATTAAAAACAAAATATGACTGAAACTCTCCTTCACATTTAACACGAAAATCAATTCCTGGCGGGTTAGAAACATACTTTTAAATTTTTTACTCTGAAAGCTTTCATACTTACATAACAGAAGAGAATACCACATTAACAAAAAAAAATTTAAATTATATCAAAGTTTTTAAACTGGTTTATAAAAATTAGTGTTTATGATAAATGATATGTTATCAAATTAGGTAAAGGATATTTACAAAACATCTATAGTAAATATACTCAATATAGAGACACTGAGAGTTTTATTTTAAAATTGGGAGGAAGGCCAGGTGCAGTGGCTCATGCCTATAATCTCAGCACTTTGGGAGGCTGAGGCATGCGGATCACCCAAAGTCAGGAGTTTGAGATTAGCCTGGCCAACATGGCAAAACCCTGTCTCTATTAAAAATACAAATATTACCCGGCGTGGTGGTGGGCACCTGTAATTCCAGCTACTCTGGAGGCCGAGGCAGGAAAATCACCTGAACCCGGGAGGGGGAGATTGCAGTAACCCGACATTGCTGCCATTGCACTCCAGGCTGGGTAACAAGAGAAAAACTCCGTCTCAAAAATAAATAAATAAATAAAAATAAGAAAATAAAATTGGGAAGAAAACAGGATGCCTGCAATCATCATTTCTAGTCAATATTTTAATGAAGATACTACATTAGGAAAGTAATGGGAAACAGATGAAATCAAAGGGCTTATTCTTGGAAAATAAGAAACAAAGCTGGTATTATTAACAGAGGATTCGAATTTATGAGGAAAATCTAATGATAAACTAATCAATAAAATTGTTTATAAAGTTTCTGACAATAAGATTAACGTACAAACATACACTTTGGTTCTGTGGTAACAAACAGTATGAAAATGAAATTAAATATCATTTGTAAACTACCATAACAAAATACCTGGTACCTAAAAGTAAATACAACTCAATGGAATATAAAAACTGTAACAACTCAATGGAAAAATTACACAGCTACTATGTATAAGTCAATCAAGGCCTAACTAAATAGAGGAATATTATATGTTGGTAGCTAGAAGATTCAACATTATAAACATGTTAATTCTTTTCAAATTCAAACTATAGATGATTGTAATTTTTCTCCCATAAATAAAACCCTAAAGGTTTTTGTGTATCTGTGTATATGTTACATTGTCAGGCTTGACAAGCTGATTATAAAATTTAAATTAATTTGCAAATGGTCAAAACTGTCCCATATCCCCTTAAAAAAAAAAGAACAAAATGTGCTTTACTCTATCAGATGTTTCGAATTACTAAAAATCCATAGTAGTTAAGAACTTGTGATATAAGTCAGAAGCTAGAAAAGAAAAATGGAATAGATTCTCTCTTAGAGTCTCCAGAAGGAACCAACACTGCTGACACCTTGATTTTGGTCGTCTAGCCTCCAGAACTTGAATAAATTTCTGTTGTTTTTAGCCATCAAATGTGTGCTATTTTGTCACGGTAGTCCTAGGAAACTATACACCCTAGAAAGAAGTTATAGTGAGCCGTAGGTCTGCCAGTCCTGTCTGAGGTATACTGGGGTGACCCTTCTATTCTGGGTTAGGTTGTCTTGTCATTTCACATTCAGAATTATCATATCAATGATTGGCAAGGCTTGGGTCTCCTCCCTTCTGCTGCTCTAAAGTTGACACCTCAAACCAAGGCTTTTCTCAGAGAAAAGGAAGCGGTGCTTCAGACACCATCCTTGCCATGTGGTACCCAGTGCTGACAGATCTGTGGCACCCTTTCTGTCTTGAGCTACTGGGGTCTTCAGTTCTCACTGAAGGTCCCCACCTTGACTCCATGTAGGGTCTGGGTAACCAGTGGCTGCACCTTCAGATCACGGATCTCACCTCCCTTAGACCTAATATTAAAAAGTGAAGAGGAGCTTCAGCCCGACGGGCCAGCCTAGGGTATTCAAGGACTGGCCATAAGGGCAGGGCCAGACTCTTTGTTGCTACCTCTATTCAAAAGTGGGTAGTGCCTCGGTCCTCACTCCAAGTCTTTGCTTTCAATTCTGTCAGGGATTGGTGTTTCTCTCCCTTTTGACTTCAGGCTTATTTCTTCACATTAAGACCTACGCCTTGCTGGCCGGGCACAGTGGCTCACGCCTGTAATCCCAGCACTTTGGGAGGCCGAGGTGGGTGGATCACCTGAGGTCGGGAGTTCAAGACCAGCCTGACCAACATGGAGAAACCCAGTCTCTACTAAAAAAAAAAAAAAAAAAAAAAAAAAAATTAGCCAGTTATGGTGGCACATGCCTGTAATCCCAGCTACTTGGGAGGCTGAGGCAGGAGAATCACTTGAACCTGGGATGCAGAGGTTGTGGTGAGCTGAGATGGCGCCATTGCACTCCAGCCTGGGCAACAAGAGCGAAACTCCGACTCAAGAAAAAAAAAAAAAAAAGACCTGCACCTCCCTGAAGAAGCCCTTCACTTTCCTAGGAGGAACTGAAGGCTGTTTCATCTGGCTACAGTTTTTTCTGTGATCTCCCAACACTTACAGCCACAGCAGGTAGGTCAAGGCCTAGAGGTCACCTTCTGTTCTGGGTTGGGTGGTTGCATCAGTTCTCACTCAGGATCCTTAGTTTGGCCCCTGAGAGGATCCACGATTCCTTTTTCTGGTCACTTGAGGCCACACCTCTCAGTCCAAGACCCTCACTTCTGTTCCTTCATAGGAAATTTTGAAGAACACCTCTGCCTTACTCTGCATTCGGCTTCCTAGGACCTAAGTAGGGGAAGTATTCTGTTGTACTCCCATGAATATGGTGTGATGGTTCTCTCAGTCCTCAAACATAAAGCATAATTTTAAATAAATTTCAAAAGTAAAAGAAGAGATATACTAAAAGTTATAGATAAAATTTAAAGGTCTAGTAGTCTGCAGAAAGTGAGGAAAAGGGAAACAGAAAGAAAAGCAGTGGGAATAAACAGAACAGCAAATAAAGTGTCAGACATAATCTTAAGGTATGAATAATTATGTGAAATATGAATGTTCTAAGTGCACTAATTGAAAAAGATTGACAGATGGATAAAATTAATATGATGTAACTATGTGCTGGATAAAATAATGACATAGGCAAAAAATAATGACAGCAATTTAAAAATAAAAATATGGAATATGATGTAGTATACAAACACTAACTTGGTAGGCAGAATTCTAAAAACAAAACCACTTCACTTTGCAAGTTCTAGGAAATATTTATTTATACTTATCTTTGCAAGTTCTAGGAAATATTTATTTATTTCAACATAAATGATTAAAGGTTACACACTATATGATTCAATATATATATAACATGTTTGATAAGACATAATTTTAGATGAAGGACAGATCGGTTTTTGCCAGGGATTTGTGAAATAGGAAGGAGTGTATGTTACTATAAATTGATAGTACAAGTAAGCTTCCTTTTAGCAATTGACAAGTTCTGTATTTTGAATGTGGTAGGAGTTCTATGAATCCATACAGATATAATCTGTAGACACATATATATGTGAATCTATACAAAATTTGTAGAATTATACAAAAAGACATACCCAAAACAAGAAGGTATGCAAAAACTGATGAAGCACATGTACAGTTTCTAGTGTAGTTATTTTATTGTGTCAATGTCAATTTCCTGGTTTGGATAATGTACTATAGTAACATAAGGTGTTACTATTGGGGAAACTAGATGACGTGCACATCACTGGAGGAAGCTGGGTTTTAGGAAAAGCTTGGTAATGGCAACACAATACTCTTCAGCAACATTTTGTGAGTATAATTTTTTAATGAAAGATTTTATAAAGCTGAATAACATGAAAGATGTCATTGTGGAAAAATATTTTAAATGAATATATGTAACAATGCATTGATATTTAGAATATATACAAAACTAAAAATCAATTCAGAAAAAAGACAATTTTATAGCAAAAGGTGGACTAAAAATGAGCAGTTATTTGGCAAGAAAGAGACCTAAATGGCTAGAGTCTACTAATAAGAGATGTTGATAAGGAGTATTGTTGGTGGTGAGTAAATTGATACAAACATTTTCCAGAGCCATTTATCATTAACATGCTCATTTGAATATACAAATTTTCTATGGAATATTAACTTCACTTTGGGGTATGTATTCTAATTATTGCATTTAGGCACGTGAAAAATGTATTAGAATGCTTCTAGCAGCACTTTGTGATACAAAAAAAGTGTCCTTAATGTGGAGAATGTGCTACAATTATATAATGTAATATTAAATATGAAAAAAAGAATCAGTTGGAGCTCTTGGAGTCAACATGGATGATTTTTGTCTTTAGACTGTGGTTGTGTATATATATTTATATGTAAATTCATATATGTATTTGATCAAATATGAATAGTCACGTTTGGAAGTATAGCCAATTTAAGTTAAATATAAGAAAAAAAATGCTCATCTACATCCATATTATCAACGAAATCACAGAAAAAAAAATCCCTTAAGGAAAAGCCCACCAGTTTTCCAGGTACACTAGTGGTCATGCTTCTTATATTTTGATTATGAAGCACACCTTTGATAATAGGATTTGACTTCCATATAATCATAGAACCATCGGGCTTGCTGTCAGGGCTTGAAAAATCTGAGGTCTATTCTTCTCTCTTAAATTAACCTTAAAAAAGTGAAAAGTATTAAGGTGTCCAAAAAACACTTTCACACAACTAGTAGCCTATTCTAGTATTTAAAGCTCTCATTATGAAGAAATTATTTCTGATAATCACTTGAACTCTAATGTGTCAGATTAAAACCAGTTTTCCAAGTGAACGAACAAATATTTATCATTTTTTTCTGACTGTACCTGAGAGATCAGCACATAATTGAAAATTTGAAATTTGTATCCAAATATGATGAAAAATACAAACTCTCATCAGATAAACACAGTAGAGTTAATATATTCATTTATTTCTTTCCATTTCTTTTATAAGTGCATGTTTGTGTTTGTTACATATATGTATATGCATATACACATGGTAAACACATTATATTTACATATTGATACTTATGTAACATCTACTATATGCCAAATGTAAGGAACATGTACTTTATGTACATTTTCATATTTAATTCTCATTATAATCTTATTTGCATCCTCATTTAAAAAAAAATCAAGCACAGAAACATTTAAAAAATTGCCCAATATCCCACACCTCTTGTTACTAAATGTCAGAGTAGAGGTTCAAATTGGCACTTGTACTAGTTATGTAGGTACATAACTATAATATATATACACAGATACACACATGTATACATCACACAAATATTGGCATTTGTTAATTTAACAAAATTATTATTTTGATAGTGTCTGTAGGCAATCCTGAAGGTCCAGGTTCATGAAATGCAATTTATTGAAACAAAGATTAAATATTCCTTGCAGAACTATTTTGTGAGAATTAATGCCTTAAGTGAACCTAAAGATGGACTCCCTTTAAATTTCATGGACATAGAGGGAAAAGTATCCAGAGCTGAGAAAGAAATGAACTGGGGAAATGCAATGGAGACTTGTAGCAATGGGAATCTTTGAACATAACAAATATTAAGAATATGAGAAATATTTGATAAATGCCATTCAAATAGAACATGTGTATGTGTGATTTTGTATTACTCAGGGTATGTATTATATTTGGTATTTATATTTACAAAATAAATTATCAGTTACATCTTATGGTTAACCTAGTTGATTTTTCTTTGCATACTTCTAGTTTCCAAAGACCCTGATGATTTGTATATTCTAAATCATCCATCACAGTCTGTTACAGTAGGTAATTATGCAGACATAAGCAGGGGAGGAGAGGGCCCCCTCTTACCCATCAGGAATATCAGGTGACCATCAGGAGATGGTCAGGTGGTTGTTAAACTGTCTCTCTGAAATAATAATTGGTTGCAGCCCACACCAGAGACTGGCAGGCTCCCAATAGATAGAAAACACCTGAAACTGGTGACCAGCAGCTTCCTGATAAGATCTCAGGAGCTGGGACAGTGGGCTTAAGCATGTGCACTAAGAGGTAAAATGCCAGAGTTCAACTGGTATATGGCCTTCCTCTAGGAACTGGTAAGGGAAAAACACTTCAAGTGAACATGTGCCCAACTTCAGTAAACATACTGTGTGTGCGACACCTCCCAAGTGCTGGCAGGCCACTGTACGTGTGAACAGCCCACCCCAAGGAAAGAATCAGGGAAGGAGCAACACAAGACCCTGGAAGCATGCCAACGTATAAAACTCCATGCTCCTAAATTTCTCAAGTCACCTGTGTGGCTCTCTTCCAAGTGTACTTTACTTCCTTTTGTTCCTGCTCTAAAACTTCTTAATAAATTTTCACTCCTGTTCTAAAACTTGCCTTGATCTCTCCCTCTGTCTTATGCTCCTCGGTTGAATCCTTTCTTCTGAGGAGGCAAGAATTGAGGTTGTTGCAGACCCATAGAGATTCGCCACTGCTAACAAGTAAACCTCAAGTACTTTTTAAAAATATATACATATTTTAATGATCATTGGGATGAATATGAGGACACTCTAATCATCGAAAACCAATCATTTACACTCAAGCTCAATGTTTAAATTGTTTGCAGGGTGTTGAGTGCTAGTTGATGTTATTTATTAAAGAATTAGCCCAGAAATTAAAAATTTATTATTCCTGACCTTTACTATCATAGCGTCTGGATGCCATTACATCACAATGTGCCTATTCTCTTTTTCATGTATGACATCTATTTTTTTTTTGCCTTTAGTGTCAAATTAAATTTACTCACTTTTCCTTTACCTTTACTTTAGAATCTTTAGAAAGCTATAATGTATGAGAACTTTAGATTATGTTTTATTAAATAATATCATTTTGTTAAAAAGTGACCTCACTGAGGTCTTAATTATCTCATTACCCTCTTCTAATTAATTGATGGTTGTTTTCTCTGCCATTTGCTTGTCCTTAATTTGGATTCAGATTCTATTTTAGTCCTCACACTTATTTAAATGATAGCTAATAAGTTCTTCTTTGCGGAATGAAGCATCATTCAACTTTCAAATGTTTCAGATGTGAACCCCAAATATCTGAGACAGGTCTCAGTCAATTTAGAAAGTTTATTTTGCCAAGATTAAAAATGTACCTGTGACAGTCTCAGGAGGTCCTAATGACATGTGCCCAAGGTGGTCGGGGTGCAGCTTGCTTCTATACATTTTAGGGAGACATCAGTAAATTTGTGTAAGATGTACATTGGTTCAGCCTGGTAAGGTGGGACAACTTGAGGTGGGGGCTTCCAGGTAATAAGTAGATAAGAGACAAAAGGTTGCATTCTTTTGAGTCCTGATCAGCCACTAAATTGTGTATTCCACTGAATACACAATTTAGTCTGACTCAGTCAATCAGCATTTTTACCCAAATAGTAGGGCGGAGGAAGTAATCAGATGTGCATTTCTCTCAGGTGAGCCTCAGAGGGATGACTTTGAGTTCTGTCTGTCCTTTGTCCACAAGGAATTTCCTGGCAGGCAAATTGTGAGGGAAGTAGGTAGCTTTTTATCTTCGTAGCTATCTTATTTAGGAATAAGTATCTTTGTAGCTATCTTATTTAGGAATAAATATCTTTGTAGCTATCTTATTTAGGAATAAATATCTTCATAGCTATCTTATTTAGGAATAAAATGGGAGGCAGGTTTGTGTGACGTAGTTGTCAGTTTGACTTTTCCCTTGGCTTAGTGATTTGAGAGTCCCGAGATTTATTTTCCTTTCATACAGATGTTAATAGTGCCGTGATGAAAAATTTCAAATTCTTTTCATAGTACTGAAGGAGTCCATTCATTTCATGCCCATTTTTCCTTCTTTTCCTCACAGGTGCATAGTTTATCTTTCAGTTTTGAACTATGCCAGCCACTAGTTGGCACATTTTATGGTAGGTAAGTGAAAGTAATTGTTAGGGGTGGAAAGTATCCGAGTTACCAGTGGCAAAACCATACAAGTCTGCAGCAACCTCAATTCTTGTCTCCTCAGAAGAAAAAATTCAACGAAGGGTCATAAGGTAGAAAAAGAGACTAAGGCAAGTTTCAGAGCAGGAGCAGATTTATTTAAAAGAAAGAAAAAAAAGCTTTAGAGAAGGAAAGTACACTTGAAAGAGATCCAAGCAGGTGACTTGAAGGTCATGTGCCCCATTTAACCTTGATCCTAGGACTTTATATGCTGGCCCCCCTCTGGAGTCTTGTGTCCCTTTCCCATGATTCTTTGCTTAGGGTGGGCTGCCCACATGTGCAGTGCCCTTCTTATGCTTGGGAGGTGAGCACATGCAGTGTGTTTAGGGTGTACACATGCCCATTTGAGGCTTTCTTCCCTTTTCCTGAGGAGTGCACCCTGAAGGTCATACTCGGCCATTTTGTCTCTTAATGCGCATGCCCAGGCTTACTTGCCCAATACCTGAGATCATATTGGTGCCCTTTTTTCTCCCTGGTGCCTGCATTCAATTAACACTTTAATGTAACAGCTGTGAACCATCACGTGATTGTCTCTCCCTGGTGCTGGCTGCTGAATTATCATTTTCAGAGAGGAAATGTGATCATTGTTGAACCATCACCCAATGATTGCCTGACATTCCTGGTGAGTCAGGGGAGCGTTCTCTCCTGCCCTGCTCATGCCTGTCTAACTACCTGTAACAAAATTATAATATTTTACCCCAGAATATATTTCTTTGACATATTTTGAAATGGCTGCAGCTTGGCCATTCTGACAGAAGTGGCCTTACAAAGCTGTCTTAAGTAGTGAAAATTTTCATCTGTGAAGAATCGCCATTAATGCAGCCATGCCCCTTCCCTTTTCTATGCCTTCCTGCCACCATCCAGAAAAGACCGAGAGTCTGACACCTTTCAATGTCTGAAAAGAAACATTTACCATCCATTCTCGCTGAAGAAGGCTTCATCTATATAACAAGGCCACCTTTGCTAGCCAAGCTTCTTCCTTTCCCTCTCAACCTGTCTTGCCACTAAACCTGATTTACCTGTTTCTAATCATGCTCTGCATTCTTTACTGTGGCCTCAGGATGATATTGTTTTTTCTAAGTTAATTTTGTTTAAATCAATCATTTAATATTCTTCATCCTAAAGACATACATCTCATTTCTTTGTTCAGTGTTGATTTGTTTTTACATGCTATGATGAGCAAAATCCTAAATATGGCCCCCAAAGCTTTCAGCCTCATAATTGTTCATCAAACACTGATCAATGTCCTTCTAGGAATACATTTTGCAAATGTAATTAAAGCCCCGGTCAGTTTGCCTTAAAATATGAACATTATCTGGGTAGTCCTTACTCATTCAGGTAAGAAGTTAAACATTACTCAGGGAATGTATTATATTTGTTATTTATATTTACAAACTAAATTATCAATTACATCTTATGGTTAACTTAGTTGATTTTTAACTAGGTTAGAAACTAGTAGAGTTTGTCTGCATGTACAGAAGTGATAGAAAGATGCACTCCTGCTGACTTCAAGGAAGAAGGAATAAAGTGCCATGTTGTAAGATGGCCTGCGAGTATGAAGTCTTTAATTGTTAAGAGTCACTTCTGCCTGATGACTAGAAAGAAAATGGTGTCTCAGTCTTATAACCATAAGGAAACAAGTTCTGCCAACAACCATTGTGTTTGGAAAAGGATCCAAGCCTCAGATGGGTGTTGTAGCCTGGCTGGCACCTTGATTTTGGTAAGGGAGGAGACCACCCCTCAGATTGTCTTATGACCAATTTCTGCCTCAAAGAAAAAGTAGGAGTTAAAGAAAAGACAGAAGTGAAATCAGTAGTCAGATAGCCCGGTGCTGCATTCCAGGCCTGGTAGTTAAAGAATGACCCCTGACCTAACGGGTTATGTTATCTATAGATTCCAGACATTGTATGGAAAAGCACTGTGAAAATCCCTGTCCTGTTCTGTTCTGTTCTGATTACCAGGGCATGCAGCCCCCAGTCACATATGCACTGCTTGCTCAATCGATCACAGTCCTCTCACGCAGACCCCTTAAAGTTGTGAGCCCTTAAAAGGGACAGGAATTGCTCACTCGGGGAGCTCGGTTTTTGGAGGTGAGTCCGCCGATGCTCCCAGCTGAATAAAGAAAGCCCTTTCCTTCCACAACTGGGTGTCTGAGGGGTTCTTATCTGCAGCTCATCCTGCTACATTGGGACCTGGGCAGTGAACCCAAACATGCCACATTGGACTTTTGACCTACAGAACTGTGAGATAAAAAATCAGCGTTGTTTTAAACCTTTGAGTTTATGCTAATTTTTATGGCAGCAATAGAGAACTAACACATATATGTAATTATTTTATGTGTTGTTCTCTTTCCCAATGAAGCTTAAAATTTCTTGATATCATGAATTATTACTTTTGCTTATTGTATGTTTATACTAAGCATAGTGATCAATCAAAATTCTATTAACTGATCATCTGCTTTTAATTAATAATTACCTAGATCATGTATAATACTTGATTCATAACACCATCATCATTGCTATCATAGAATCAAAAAATTATTTTAACAGTGATTCCAGAAGGAGAAAAAAAAAAAGAAAAAGACCACTCTATCAAATGTCCCCTTGGGTCCAGTTTACCTGTGATGTGCTCCTGTCCCTCACCTTCTACATGCTTAGTCCTAACTGTGCACTTCTAACCTTCTTCAGAAAATTTCCATTGGATTATTACTGTTCAAAGCCTGAGGTATACCTGGGTGTTCATGTTCCCTGTGGCAAACTCATAGCCAATATCTGTTTGGTGTGAGAGTTTAAGACCCCAGGTCTCTTGCCTCAAACAGAAAAAAAACTCTGGTGCAATTTCAGTTCTACAGAACCCTATGGGATCAGACTGACACTGACTTTGACTGAAATATTATCTTTTATTTGGAGTAACTGATTCTCTGCCCTGCTTACTCTGCTTCCCACTTTTTTTCTTCTGGGAGCATTTTCTTAATCACATACCTACGAATTCTCATTTGTAGGTCAGCTTAGTGACAATCCACAAGCAGCTGCACATGACAACTACAAAGCGAATGGAAGAAGCACTCTCAAGTGGTCATAAAATGATGGTGGACTAAAGAAAAATAAAGTTGAAAATAATAATTTATTCCCTATATCAAATAGGAATACAGCTATACTAATATTATTTTCACACAACCAGTTTTTAATGAAGGTAACAGTTCATTTCCAATTTTCCTCTGATAAAAGAATAACCAACTTACACAAAATTGGCTTCTGCCCATATTCTTCCATGAAGCAAAAATTTTACAAGTTATACAGGATGGCTATATGGGCACTTAGTACAATTATTATGATTAAAAATGCATTAAAACAGAAAAGTGAACAGCACAGCAGTTAATATTAATTCTCTATGTCTCAATATTTTATGATTTTAAATAAATTTAAATTTTAAATTTTGCCAGGTATGGTGGCTCATGCCTGTAATCTCAGCACTTTGGGAGGCCAAGGTGGAAATATTGCTTGAGCCCAGGCATTCAAGATCAGCCTGGGGAACATAGCAAGACTCTGTTTCTACAAACAATAACAAAAAATATTAGCCAGGTGTGGTGGTGCACACCTGTGGTCCCAGCTACTCAGGAGGCTGAGTTGGGAGGTTATGTAAGCCCAGGAGTCTGAGGCTGCAGTGAGCCATGTTTGTATCACTGCATTGCACTCCAGCCTGGGCAAAAGAATGAGACCTTGTTTCTAAATAAATTTCTATTTATTTTATACATTATAAGGATATATAATAAAATATATTATAAATTATAATACATATTATTAAATTAAGCTTAAATTTAAATAAAATATTTAAGAACTATTATTTTAATAAAAATATTTTTTAAAGGGCAATATTTTGTACCTTGTCAGAAAACAATTGCAATAGTTATAGATTCGCTATGCCTTTCCACACATACAGGGACAGTTAGTGGTAGAGCATTTACTCAGGGCGGGTGGATCACCTGAGGTCAGGAGTTCAAGATCAGCCTGACCAACATGGTGAAACTCAGTCTCTACTAAAAATGCAAAAATTAGCCGGGCGTGGTGGTGCACACCTGTAATCCCAGCTACTCAGGAGGCCAAGGCAGGAGAATTGCCTGAACTCGGGAGGTGGACGTTGCAGTGAGCTGAGATCACAACCATTACACTCCAGGCTGGGCAACAAGAGTGAAACTCCATCTCAAAAAATAAAAAAGTAAATAAATAAATAAAAGTATTCAATATTAAAGTTACCAGAGGCTGGGAAGTGTAGTTGTTTGGGGGGCAGGTGGAGATGGTTAATGGGTCCAAAAAAATAAGAAAGAATGAATAAGACCTACTATTTGACAGCACAATCGGGGTGACTATGGTCAGTAATAACTTAATTCTACATTTTAAAATAACATAAAGAATGTAACTGGATTGTTTGTAACTCACAGGATAAATGTTTGAGGGGATGGATACCCCATTCTCCATGATGTGTTTATTTCACATTGCATGCCTGCATCAAAACATCTCATGTACCCCATAAATATATTTACCTACTATGTACTCAAAAAATTTTACAAACATTTAAAGAATAATAATAAAAAAGTCACAGTGAAATGAAAAGGCACTCCAACATTGTGGATTTCAATTCCATTCTGTTATTTAAATTACAATCTGGCATGATTTAGGATGGTCTCCCTGGGCATAAGTTGGGAAGGACATTTCTGATAAAAACGAGAGGATTGTGTGATAAAAGTGATGCTAAAGGCCTTGTACTATTTGTGCCAGGTACTGTGTTATTACCTAGCATTCATTATATCATTTCCATATAGCCTCTGAATAGTCTTAGAGAGTAGGTAATATTTTTCTTGGACTTTGTTTCTGATATCAGGGCCCTGAAAAAGCCAGTAGTTGTTTAAAGTCACACAATTAGAAAATAATGGGGTCATGTACAAGTTCCCCTTGCCTGAAATAAAGCTATGTACTTAGCCACTGCATGAAAATGGTATGTTTCCATATCTGTCTTGCTGTTCGTATACTCAAGTTTGGAACGTCTGGCCAAAGCCATATAATCAATGATGAATGGAAGCACTTATGATCTTTTGAACTAACTTCTTTTTTCAATTATGTAATTCACTAACACACATTTTAATCATTTCTAGCTGTCCTAAAATTTACAATTGAATATGTTCATGGTAGACAGTATTTAAATAGTACATATTTTGGAAGCTATAAATATTCTCTTTGTTTTTAGGAAGAAGCACACTTGAATTAAATGTTCCCCAGAGGAAAGACTAACCAACACTTTTAAAATTGACTTGACCAAATGCTTTATGGAGCATATGGTAAATCTATAGCAAGACATCTCTAGAGTCTAATATTTATTTATTTTTCTTTTTCTGTTATGCAAACCCAACAATCCTTATTAATGGTTTCTTCCCCCATCCCAACTCTACACTTTAAAATATTCCAAACATACCGAACAGCTGAAATATTAGTACAATACACACACACACATTCTCCACTAGTTCAACAATTAACATTTTGTAACATCTGTTTTCTGCCTTTCTCTATTTTATTTGAAATTTATTTCTTAATCTACATATATTAGGTTGGTGGAAATGCCATTGCGGTTTTTGCCATGACAAAAACTGCAATTACATTTGCACCGACCTAAGATGTGCACACACACACACACACACACACACATTCACACATTTACCCCTAAATATTCAGCATTTGTCTTCTAAAAAAAGAACATGCTTTCAATTCTATTCTATCATTATAACTAATACAGTTTAATTATGATAAAGCAACATTATTTAATGTATAGCTCATGTTCAAGAGTCCCAGTTTTGAGCTATATTTAAAACCACATCCTGGTAATATGTTTCCAAATTGGGATCACCCATTGAGTTTTGTTCACTTCAATCTAGGACAGTCTTCCAGCCTTCTCTGATCCTTTATAACATTGACCTTTTTTAAAGAATTGAGGCCAAGTTTTCTAAATTCCCTGGTTGTCCTCTCATGAGTGGATAAGGTTTGAACATTTCTGGAATGAAAAATTAATATGTGCTACAGTGTAGTTCTAGCTTTTTTCCCATCAGGAAGCACAGCAGGTCAGAATGCCCAGTTATTAATAATGCTGAGTTTTGGCAGGGTGCCGTGGTTCACACCTGTAATCCCAGCACTTTGGGAGGCCAAGGCAGGCAGATCACAAGGTCAGGAGTTTGAGACCAGCCTAGCCAACATGGTGAAACCCCGTCTCTACTAAAAATACAAAATTTAGCCAGGCATGGTGGTGTGCACCTGTAATCTCAGCTACTCAGGAGGCTGAGGCAGGAGAATCGCTTGAACCCAGGAAACAGAGGTTGCAGTGAGCCAAGACTGTGCCATTGCACTCCAGCCTGGGCAATAGAGTGAGATTCCATCTCAAAAAAAAATAATAATAATGCTGAGTTTGTTATTTGGTTACAGTGGTGTCCACCAGATGTCTTTATGTTAAATATACCCGTTGGCAACTAATAAATGACCTATGGATGAAACTTTGAGACTGTGAACAGCCTTTTCCTTATCAATGTTTCTCCCAATGGCCCTGAAGATAGTGTACAGTCTGTGTTTGAGTTGTAAACGAAAATGAAATTCCAAGGTTCCCCAATTATCTGAATGGATCCCTCCTCTCAGTCCAGGGCATTTGAGAGTTAACCTGAAAATCTATTTCAGGCCATGATGGAAGAGGGGGTTGGACATGCCTCATTGTCCTCCTCCCAGTATTAACATCAACACAGACCTTAAATCTGATAAGAAACATTTATAATCTGTTCTCTCTGAAGCCTGGTACCTGGAGGCTTCATCTGTATGATAAAACCTAGGTCTCCAAAATCCCTTATTGAAACACAGACATTTCTTTCTATTGATAATAACTCTTACAACTAATTGACAATCAGAAAAATTCTAAACCTACCTATGACCTGGTAGCCCATGCTTTGAGTTGTCCTGTCCTGCCCTTCCAGATCAAACCAATGTAAATCTAACATATATTGATTTATGTATCATGTCTCCCTAAAATGTATAAAAGCAAGCTGTACCCTGACCACCTTGGGTACATGTTGTCAGGACCTTCTGAGGCTGTGTCATGGGCGTGCCCTTAACCTTGGCAAAATAAACTTTCTAAGTTGATTGAGACCTGTCTCGGATATTTGGGGTTTACATATTGGCAACCACTATGGGATTCTGAGTGGAGGTGCCCCTGACTTTTGACAAATGTACCAGTGCCTGGTACCAGCTTGAACTATATTTATGGTTCAACCAATAGGACAATTTGCTGAGGCCTGGGAGCTCCCCTCCCTCCAGAGAATCCCTGATATCCCAAAATTTGGTTGAGATCTAAGTTATTTTGCTCTACAACTCCTTTTCTGGAGTTTTACTTGCTTCCAAAAAGAAAGGCAAGTTTTCCTGCTTGCATGACAATGGAAGGCAGTAGTTTCATTCTGGAGTTTTAGCTTGCTTCCAAAAGGGAAGGAGAGTTTGAGTGTGTTCTTGCTTCTAGAATTGTGGGGAGCTGTCTTCAGCTGGGGTTCCATTCCTAGGTAAGTAGCTGAATTTTTTTTTTCTCTCTTGAAAGTTCTCCTTAATGACTGAAGGTTAAAATTGACAACCAGCTGGTCTTCATTTCTCCTTACCATTATAGTGCTCCGTGGTCATATTGTTGTTGTTGTTGTTTTTAATTTTTGGTTTGTTTCAGTCTTTCTCCCATCATAGTTGACCAACTCTACCCAACTTGGTCAAATCCAAATGAGAATTTCAAATTATGAGGAACAAGCCCTCTGAATTGGCTAAAGTTTCTCTCAGCTGCAAAAACAACAACAAAAACAAAAAAAAAAACAAAAGAAAAATAACACAAAACAATAAACAAAAGAAAAAACCATGTGCTTGGTTTCTGTGTTTGCTTCCTGTCTTAAAAATAAATAAATAAATAATTTTTTTTGGTTTACTTTCCTTTCACCCTATTCCTCCTTTTCCCTTTGCCATCTTTGGTACCAATAAAAAATCTAGCGAAGGCGTACAATGACTCAAACCCCTCAAATAACTAAAAACATTGGTGCCATTCACCCCTTTTTGGAGTGTTCTGTTTTCTTTGTGGAGTTTAAAGAGTCATAGGCAGATTATTTTTAGAACTAAAGCTCTGTTTTCCTGTATTGCATTACCTGTCCTCTTTGGCTTTGGGCGGGGGCAACAGAGATTACCTTGTAGTGTGAGAGGATTTGACCTTGGCATGTGAAATGATGGATGAGAGCTACAAAGTTAGGTGTAGCTGAGGACAGTCTACAGGAAGTGACCTTACATTTTTTTTTTTCCTTTAGGAAGTTGTTGTTTAGGATCCTAATTCTAGTTCAGAGATGCATTCTAAACAGCTTTCTCCATTGCCTTTCCTCCCAAAATTAATCTCAATTGGCTTGTCTGCACATATGTATGAGCAACTGTACTGTCATTTTCTTTTTCTTTTTTCTTTTTTTTTTTTTTGAGACGGAGTCTCGCTCTGTCGCCCAGGCTGGAGTGCAGTGGCGCGATCTCGGCTCACTGCAAGCTCCGCCTCCTGGGGTCATACCATTCTCCTGCCTCAGCCTCCTGAGTAGCTGGGACTACAGGCACCCACCACCACACCCAGCTATGTTTTTGTATTTTTAGTAGAGACGGGGTTTCACCGTGGTCTTGATCTCCTGACCTCGTGATCCCCCCGCCTCGGCCTCCCAAAGTGCTGGGATTACAGGCGTGAGCCGCCATGCCCGACCTCTGTCATTTTCATAGATAAATGAGAGACTGAGTTTCGTCAGGTCTGAAGAGAAAGGA
Organism: Homo sapiens; assembly: GCF_000001405.40. Taxonomy (NCBI): domain Eukaryota; kingdom Metazoa; phylum Chordata; class Mammalia; order Primates; family Hominidae; genus Homo; species Homo sapiens. The sequence continues at coordinate 35,778,646 of NC_000023.11, read as the reverse complement.
CATTTTGATCCTCCCAGCCAAAAGGTGCCCCTGGGTGACTGGGGGCCACGTGGGAGTGTCTGGGGGATTGACCCCTCCCATGATATGCAGCGGCCCTACAGGGAACTCCCAACAAAATTAGTTTAAAAAGGCTCATCCAGGAAATGAATATAAGAGCTGGTCACTGCAGTTTTTGAGCCTTCTCAGAGATGCTGGACTTCCAGGGAGAGAAACTGAGGCACGTAAGAAGGCAGAAACAACTCGGTGGTGACACATTGTGGAGTCTGGCCCATAATCAGTACATTTTGATCCACTACACTAAACCCTAGGCCACAGCTCAGTTCCTCCTTTTAAGAAAAAAATGTGGGAAACAAATATTCCAAGAATGACGAAAGACAAGGAGAATGAACCCCCAGTTGGTTTTATGGTGCCTCTACTTGCACACTACTGTGTAAATGGAAGGATATGCCAGAGTTTTTAATACTCCAGCTGGTTACACATTAGGTCTGGTCTTGTGCACATTTTAAAATGATGGGCAAATTACATCAATGAAAATTCAGAGCCCAAAGGTCGACCTGCAACTCTGAAGTTTCTGAGTTCTCTCTCTCTGTTTTCTTTTCTGCCTGCTTTAAGTCTGCTGTTACTTTTCTACTGAGATAAAATGTACCATTTGCATCCAACTGTTACCAGATGGAATGTCTTGACTGTGAGTTTTCCAGTTTCTTGGTGTGTTGAACAAAGAATTGAACCAAACACAAACAAGCAACAAAAGAACAAAGCAATGAAAGACAAAGCAACAAAAGCACAGATTTATTGAAGCCAAAGTACATTCCAGAGAGTGGGAGTAGGCTAGAGCAGGCCTTTCAAGAACGCCCCCATTAGGGTTTTTATAAAGCTGAAACAATGTGGTAACACACCTTTAAGGGTCTCCAATTGGTTACACCCTATGAAGGACTGGCCTATGAGCAGTCAGGGGCTGAAGTGGAAGCTTCTGTGTTGTTATCACAGGCGTGAGGATGTGGCCTGTATACTGCCTAATCTTGCCTAGAACTGTCTGCACCTGCTGTTCTTCTGCTTATGTGAACTGGCCGTACCTGCTGTTCTTTTGCTTATGCCTTAACCCTTGGTTACCCTTATTCCCTATTCTCTTGCCTTAAAACCATTTCTTCTTGTTATTGTTTTTGCAAACCAGTGAGTTTGTATTAATATCTCATGGCCAGAGTTCTGATATACAAGTTATAGGATCTTTGTATGAGTGTGTAAGTGTGTGTTTATGTGTACAAACACACATTTTGTTATGTGTTTTTGGCCACAAGTTACCAAATTAGGTTAAAGTTAAAGAATATTTATAAATTAAATAATAAGACTAAATGCTTTTCTATTTCACATGACTTAAGCAAAATCTTTAAAAAATAAGCTTGCTTTAATATTATTGGTAAAGTAATATCAGCAATGCCTTAAGAATTATCAGCATACATTTTTGTTTGCATTTATTGTTCAAGAGATTTCACACTTATCCTTGCCAAATACTATAAGGTGTCAAAATTTGGCATAAGGGTTATAAAACCATAAGCCCAGCCCAAAACAGAATAATCTTTGCTTTTGTAATTCTTGATAAATAAGATGTTAATATTGTTGGTTTAATGAAAACAGCTAAATCTTGAATTATAGGTAGAATAATCATATATTTAATCACAAGTTTCTTATTTAGGTACAGCCCTGAAATTCACAGGCTATTAAAATGGTTAACAGGGAAATAACTTTAAATGATGACTATCATAGTTTTTATAAATAATCTAGGTAAACTATTAAAATAAAATAATTAGGTAAATGTATTGAAATAAACACTTGTATAGAAAGTTGTCACAATTTAGAATCTAAAGTTATAATAAATTAAATAATAGATATTTCATTAAATGTCTGGGTATTTTCCAATTTAAAAAAATTATGTTTTAGAAAAACATTTTTTCTAGAAAATGTGTTTTTATTAAAAGGTAAATAATTGTTGTGTAATTCAAAGCTTATTTAAAGGTTATATATAAAACAAGGTAAAAGGAATCAGAAAATATGAAAATGTAAAGAAACTTATCAAAATAAAGAAGTATTTTTTGGTAAGAAAGCTTAAAAGAAAAGTAATTTCATATAAGGAAGGATCTTATATGTTGGTTTTTAATTCTAAAATAAAATGACTGGGTTGTTCGAAACATAAAAATATTTATGACAAACCAGAAAGTCCAAGCATGTCCTCAATGGTCTAACTCATAATAAGGTTAGTAAAAGATAAATTTGTTAAAATGTTATGTTATTAACTGGCTATAGAGAAAATCATAATAAATAGTTTTTCTAAAAATTCAACTTTGATATTAAAAATACACTCATAGAAAACCAAAGAACTGGTTAAAACATGATTTTATTAAAAGTATTGTTACTCTTAATCCAAGAAGTTTTTAATTTTTAAATTCCACAATCTATTTCTTTATGAAATTATTCAGATTGATATCTCAGAAGCTGTACACTGTTACTTTAGCTCCTTCTCTCTTCTGAGTAGGCCTGAGATGGTAACTCCTTCCTTTAACTTTTGTTGTCTCCTGTAACTTTTAAAAATTAATAGTCTAAGACAGAGAATTTGTAAACAGACAAATGAAATATCTTTTGGACCTGCCTTTTTTATTCTGCATTCCTGTTTTATCTATATGTTTATATGTGTCATGTGGAAGTAATATTTCACTACCAAATTACCTAAAAGAGCACTAATCAATTGACTTCAATGAGTGAGTGCTGGCCGGGCGTGGTGGCTCACCCCTGTAATCCCAGCACTTTGGGAGGTTGAGGTGGGTGGATCACCTGAGGTCAGGGGTTCAAGACTAGCCTGGCCAGCATGGTGAAACCTCATCTCTACTAAAAATACAAAAATTAGCCAGGCACAGTGGTGGGTGCCTGTAATCCCAGCTACTCAGGAGGTTGAGGCAGGAGAATCGCTTGAACCCTGGAGAAGGAGGTTGCAGTGAGCAGAGATTGCATCATTGCCCTCCAGCCTGGGCAACTAGAGTAAAACTCCATCTCAAAAAAAAAAAAAGTGAGTGCTTATCAGACTGGTGGAAGCTAGCTCAGATGCCTTTTAATTCACATGACCTTGGTAATCTTTGGTAAGATTAGTTTGGTGAATTTAATCTCAAAATTATCTCCAGCAGTTTAAAATCTTAAAGTCATGTCAGGTTAAATTAAGTAAACTGGGTTTTTGTTCCCCCTGCCCCCCAACTGGGAATTTGAGTTACTAAGAGTTAAAATAGTAGGAGTGTAAAAGGTGTTTTTGTTGAAGTTCATAAAACACAAGCATGTGTTTTTTGTAAAAGAAAATGTAATTTTTTTCTAGTTAATTAAGAGTTGCTTTAAAATAAAGGAAAAATTACACAGATAAAACTAAATGGATTAAAAGAAACATTAAGCCAGGGCAACAAAAGTTACCTCTGAGACCTGTGGTTACCAAGAAGATAGTCAATGTGGGGGAAGGGCAAAGCCAAGTAACTATTAAAACCAGAGGGTATAATGTAAAGGAATTGTTCCATTTTGTAGATTTGTATCATCAGCTTCTTGAGACATCTTTAGTATAAGGAATTTTAAAAATAGTTACTGTAAGGACAAACTCCTTAATTATAAATGCTGTAGAATGAGCTTGTTTGGGTTGATGTAGGACCCACAGCTCATTGTTAAATAATCACTGATGGTATATGTGATCCAAATGCGCAAGAGGTTATTCCCGCAAACAACCTAGTGGACCAGATAAATACCACTGTAAGGTCTGTTTACCCTGAGAAGGGGACTGTCCAGCTCTCTCTATAAAATGCCAAATGGAGCACCCCAGATGAAGCAGCTGATATGCTTCATATGCAAGCCACGTTGAGACTGGTTTTATGATGACTGGAATGTTCTTCCACCTAACATGTCTATTTCCCAGGTCATGCTAAATTTGGGGGTTAAGGGTTAACGGGGTTCCGTTTACGTGGGCACTCTGGGAAACATTGCTCTTGCAGACTCATGTGACTGTTTGAGAAGCCCTATCAAATTTGCTGTCCCTTATGGGTCTTATAGATGCTTCATAAAATATTAGAGTAATTAGAAAAGGAAAAGGAAAAAGGGAGTCAATGGATTTGCCCCAGAAAGGTGATTGAAATTTTTGGATGGTCATTCACTATTTGCCCCAGATTGAAAATTTAAAAATAAATAAATAAACAAATAGGCAAAGGTTATCATGAGAAAGCTGACATTGCCTGGGACAGTGTTGAGGCAAATGAGATAAACATTAACCAAAGGGCCTGAGTCCCTTGGCCCAACCCCTTGCTGGGACCCAAATCCTTTGGATATAGGATCTTGCTACCCAGGGAATGCAAGGGGGAGAATACTCATAAGCAGGGAGCCTGTTTTTTCCCCCTAGGACTGATTCCAACTATGTGAGGAGCTGCTAGATTTTACAGTGCCTGATAGACAACTCTCAGATAACAAGAGCTGTCTGGCTTGTGGACAGCAGTTCCAAGGTGAACAAACAATACCCTGTTTGAAAGCCACTGCTCTGATTAAAGAATCAAGCAAATCTTTTTCTTTTATTTATAGTATAGAGCAATTGGGTGAAGTATAATATGCTTTTGTGAGCAAATTTAATTTTCTTTCTGAGCTCTCCAAAATTCAGAAACTGTTCACGAGTATTCTGATCTTAAGACAATATAGTTATTTGCATACGTTTAGTAAGAGTCTTTTAAAACAGGACATTTGGAGACACTGGTTATTTTTATCAAGGCTTTGACCATGATAACATATTTTAAGGTAAAGTTCCAGCAAAGCCAACTTAAGGCTACGATAATCCTCCAGAGCAGTGGTCCCCAGCCTTTTTGGTACCAGGGACCAGTTTCATGGAAGACAATTTTTCCATGGATCGGGGGCATGGTTTTGAGATGAAACTGTTCTACCTCAGATCATCAGGCATTAGTTAGATTCTCATGAGGAGCGCGTAATTTAGATCCCTCCATGTGCAGTTCACAATGGGGTTTGCACGCTCCTATGAGAATCTAATGTCACCACTGATGTGACAAGAGGTGGAGCTCAGTTGGTAATGCTTCTCGCCTGCCACTCACCTCCTGCTGTGCAGCCCAGTTCCTAACAGGACACAAACATGTACCGGTCTGTGGCCCAGGAGTAGTACTCTCTACTACTCTAGAGAGTACTAGATTATTCTTCCTATTTGTAATTGGTGCCTAATGGAATAGTTTTCTTTTTCTGTTTTGACACACAAATACTCTTTTGATTGTCAAAATATTAATGTTATTTATCTCTCCTTGTTTTACTTTCAAGGAAAACAAAATAATGGTACTCTGAAGTCCAGAGATGCAAATTTCCCTCATTTGGCATTCCACTGGGCCTGATCTGTTTTTTTCACTGCAAATGTCCTCCTGCTAAGACTATACAAGAACCCTCCCTCTAGGTCCAGGGACTGTCATGGAAAAGGTAGGTGCATGAGATTGTAAGGGCTGGTTTTGAGTCATAGAATTAGGTCAAGATCACACCCTCCAAATCAAGAGTGGGTATACAGATACCTAAACAGATTATAAAACAAGAGATTTTGCCTTCTGCGCTTTTATGTGGCACCTTTTCATCCATCCCAACCATAATTTCCTGCTTCCTGTAGAATTAAAAAAATAACTACTTAGAGGATAAAGACACCCCATGACAAAGCCTCCTGGGTATAATACTCCCTGTTATGAGTCATGCAAATATATACATATAAGTATAATTAAAATTGATAAATAAATTTATAAATAAATACATTTTATAAACAAATAAAATTAAAAATTTCAGAACAAACCTTAAGTTTTGTATACTTCATTGCCATAAGTCTGTAATTAAACCAATATCACCGTAGCTCAAAGCATAGACGTTAAAGATAAGTCAGTTTTGTAACCTCGTCTTTGGTTTTTTGTTTGTTGACTTTTTACTTAAAAAAAATTCAAGGGGTAAAGAATGCATGTCCACATCCATTCCTATCTGGCCTAAAGCATTCAACTGGCTCTAAGTCTTTTTATTAATACTCTAAGTTCCTTGGGCACAGGGAGTCTTACCAAGGGACAGGATGGACCTGGGGCAGGCAACCATGTCATTCCAGCAATGCTATAGGACAGAGTAAAAATTTCGTGGCATTTGGCAAATCTTGCATTTGGCAAATCTTGGCCAGAAGCGGGAGAATGCAAACCAGAAATGAAATTCTAAGTCCCCCCTCAACCATCTGAATGGATCCCTCCTCTCAGACAAGGGCATTTGGGGAGTCAACCTGAAAATCTAGTTCAGGCTATGATGGAAGAGGGTGTTGGACATGCCTCATTGTACCCCTCCAGTATTACCATCAACAGAGACCTTAAGTATGATAAGAAACCTTTACAATCTATTCTCGCAGAAGCTTGTTACTTGGAGGCTTTATCTGCATGATAAATCCTTGGTCTCCACAATTCCTTATCTTACCCAGACATTCTTTTCTGTTAATAATAACTCTTTCAACTAATTACCAATCAGAAAATTTTTAAATCTACCTATGTCCTGGAAAGTCCACTCCCCTTTCGAGTTGTCCTGCCCTTTCAGATGGAGCCATTGTAAGCCATTACATGTATTGACTGATATATTATGTCTCCCTAAAATGTATAAAAGCAAGTTGTACCCCAAACACCTTGGGCACATGTCATCAGGACCTCCTGAGGCTGTGTCATGGGTGCACCCTAAACCTTGGCAAAAAAAAAAAAAAAAAAAAAAAAAAAACCTTTCTAAATTGATTGAGACCTGTCTCAGGTATCTGGGGTTCACAGGGCATGTAAAGTCTTCTGGAAGGACTCCATCATGCAGCTAAATTGTCGGTTTTTAGAGCTAAAAACTACTGAGCCAGGTCCCAAAATTGAAAAGCACAGCATAGGACAGCATTATTAGCAGATGAAAAATAAACCAGATACCTCTTATAGCATCATGAGGAAGTACATGCATAAATTTGTTTTATTTTCTATAAATACAAATTTACAGGATAGGTATATCTGTTTTCAAGTATCACACTCAGAAATTATCACTATTTTCTACAAACTTCAGGCTATGCATCATTCCTCTGGTTTAGAACTATAGGAAATCAATTACTCTATATTCATTCAAGAGGTTGTCTAAAAATAGCAGTCTTTTATAACTACATGAAACTAAGAAATATGAAGATAATTGGTCTAATTCAATGAAAATCAATTATTCTTAACACTTTTACTATGATGTATCCTTTTGTATAACTTAATTTTCAAATATTTTTATTAATTATTTATTAGTCCATATTTTTTAGAATTTGTTCATCAAACAATATCATTTGGCTTACTTCTGCTAAGGGTTCTATGACAGGAATCTCTTAGTCTCTGATATAAATCAGTACACAATAAATGCCATTGATTCACAGCTGGGATAATAGTTCTAATATCACAATTCTAAAAATGTATATTTGTAATGCCTATATTTTCATAGCATGGGTGCTTTCAATCTTAAACATAGAAAGCTAGGATTATGGGACATTGTCTTTAGAACTCTCATGCCTTAGATTATTTTGTTCTTATTATTATATAAATAATTAAAGAAGTAATTAAGGAGTGATAATTCAGATCTGTTTCAGATTGCTTCATTAAAACATAGTTTCTGAATCAAATTTAAGAGCTATATAAATTAGGAAATAATTTTAAACTCCTATTATGAAAATGATTATTTCTTTGTTATTTATGCAAATTTTACTTATTTAACATGCCATTCTAATGTCTGTATAACTTTTAACTAAAACTACCATATAGAGATATTTTCTTTCAGAGTTTATCAAGTTGATCCTAGATAAATATTTTTTGATGTTGCCATACTCAAGCATATCTCAATCTCTTGTGATGGCATAACAGTTAATATTTTTTTAACTAGAATGAAGTATCAGAGTTTTTGGAATATGTATTTATTTTTAAGAGATCAAAGTAGACTCAAAAATTTCCTGATAGTGATGAAACTCTCACTGGTATTTTGAAGTCCTCATGATGTTGTTTTGTGCTTGCTTTAATTTTCTCTTATAAAAATAGACGTTTCTGCATGTTATAAGTATAATGATGGAATATGCCTGAAGCTTCAGTGGCACTAATTAGATTAGTACAAAGACTGTGGGCATCAAAAGAACCTCAAAATATTGGGCTGAACTACATAACATCACCAACTACACAAACGGCAGTTTTATGTGATTCAGTCTAATACATTTGTCTCCCTCAGTGTAATGCACACACACAGAGACTTGCATGAACACACAAGCACCATATTTCTTTTCCCAGTCCCAGGCGCGCATTACTGTTTTAATTCTATTTTCTACTCCTTCTCACTGTTGGATTATAGAAAAGGGGTCACTGTCATGAATAAAAAGGGAAAGCAAACAAAATTATCTTTTAAAAGCCTCAAACACAAATGTACATCACCGAAGAATTTTTAAATTCACAGTAGAGAATAACCAATAAGATGCAAATGATGGTGTTAAGTATCAAAATTTTGAGTTGAATGCCTGATAAGTACCTGTAACACATTACAGAAGGTGTATAGAGTCTCACTATTCATCTGCCCAGTAATTAGCTGGAGAATAATGACACTCTAATCTCACATCTTGAAGTCTTTGCTCCTCATTAGTGAAATAAGCTACTTTTAACCTTGTTTATTCCAAATTATCTCAGAGTTGAAATTTTGAAGCTTCATATTAAATATTTGTGATAAAGAGCTTTTTAATTACATTATTTTATTGCTTTCCAATAGCATCTGAAGTGCTGTGAAGGTCTATAGACAATATATCACGTACAGTAAGATTGTAATATTATTTCTTTCTTTCTGGTCTTAACTAAGGTTCATAAGGTTCCTAAACATATTTTTAACAGATCTAGTGTTCGAAAAGGAATTTGATTGAATGTGCTTTAATTCATAGCAACAGGGTTAAAACAAGAGGAGAAGGCAGAGTGCTAGGTTACGGTTTCTAAGAGCAGGTATCTCTAGTCTTAATAGAATTGTGTATCTAAACTTTCTCCATGAGGCAACTAAACCTGAAATTATGTCTGCAAAACTGGGAGTGGCTGTACATGGTTAACAAAGAGTTCAGTGCTAACACTGCTTTGGATTGAAGTGCCACAATGCTTTTTATTGTACTAAATACACTTAGAAACAGAAAAATGAAAAGATGTTACATCACCTCTTTGAAAATGTTTTCCGCTGTGTACTCCTCTACCAGCACTATCACCATCCAAAAGAAGTGTTTGTTACCATCCACCTATTATTTAAGTAAAAACATAATATCAGTGAAATAATTTTGAATGATTATGCTTGCTTCAGGGAAAGTTATTCTAGAAAACGAAGTTTCTTCAGTAAGCTTTGTAAAGAAGCTTACACTAGTCACATCTGAATATTTAAAATATTTCTCAATTTAATAACTGTTAGTAAAAATATTTACCTGTAAATTTTCTTATGTAGAAAAGTGTTAATGTTTATTCAAATATGTAATATTTACTATAGATAGTATATTTATGTTAGGACAATTGATGGAATAGTGCATTTTAATTCTAGTGCTGTAATGTATATTTATAATGGTAGTTTATCCATGGTGTCATAAGACATAAAAATGACTCTATCACAAGTCATTTTGTTAATTAGGAATACAGTTCCAGAGTTTTGATTTATTCATTTTCAAAATTCAAATTGGACTCAAAATATTCCTGACAATAATGTTACTTTTACTTATATGTCTTTCAATAATCTTTTTGTAGACAGGAGAAAAAGGAGCAGAGTTACAGCTAACTTTTCTAGGCATTGCAATAACAAAGAATATATGCTATCTGCAGGCCATAAAGTCTCTGTTATTTATAAATTTAACAGTTCTAGCAATTATACATTAATTAATTTAGTGCTCTAAAATAGATTTTCTTATATAATCTCAATTTTCTTAAATCCATTCCAGTATGTTGCAAATATGAATGTCTTCCACTGATTTGCAGCATAGCAGACTAAATGCAGAGTCTTCTTTAGATCACATAAGAGATCCACAGATATTCATCAAATATACAGATACATGTTTATTTAGCAGTATCTTAAATTTATATGTTGTTTTCACATGAATCATCTCAATTGCTGGATACCCAGTAATTTGGTAAAATAAACAGAATGGAATTTCTATAAAAAATTTGAAAAATCTGAAAATCTCTCTTAGGACCCACTTTCAGTATTTTAAGTCATTACATTTGATTAATATGTATCAATATATATTTTCTTTCCAAGAGAATGTCCCTAAAGGAATATACTATAATCTGTTGTTAACACAGTTCAAAATGTGTGATATGGTTTGACTTTGTGTTCCCACCCAAATCTCATCTCAAATTTTAATCCCCACATGTCAAGGGAAAGACTGGTGGGAGGTGATTGGATCATGGGGGTGGTTTCACCCATACTGGTCTCATGACAGAGAGTGAGTTCTCATGAGACCTGATGGTTTTATAAGGGGCTCTTCCCGCTTTGTCCTTCCCTTCTTCTCTCTCCTGTCGCCATGTGAGAAGGCCCAAGCATGCTTCCCCTTCACCTTCCTCATGATTGTAAGTTTCCTGAGGCATCTCCAGCCATGCAGAACTGTGGGTCAATTAAACCTCTTTCCTTTATAAATTACCCAGTCTTAGGTATTTCTTTATAGCAGTGTGAAAACGGACTAACACAATGTGGTTCCCAAAAATAAATTGTGAGCCTGGGCGTGGTGGCTTACTCCTGTAATCCCAGCACTTTGGGAGGCCAAGGCGGGTGGACCACCTGAGGTCAGGAGTTCAAGACCAGCCTGGCCAACATGGTGAAACCCCGTCTCTACTAATGCAAAAATTAGCTGGGCATGGTGGTGCACGCCTGTAATCCCAGCTACTCGGGAGGCTGAGGCAGAAGAATCACTTGAACCTGGGACGCGGAGGTTGCAGTGAGCCGAGATAGTGCCATTGCACTCCAGCCTGGGCAACAAGAACGAAACTCCATCTCAAAAATCAAAGAAACAAACAAAAATGAATTGTGATAAAAAGGAGAAATTACCAGTCCCTAAATATATTTGTTTCAGCAAGAGCTCATATGTGTGTATGTGTGTATATACATATATGCACGTATATATACTCTAAATTTATAAATTTTGTCTTTACAAATATATATGTAAATAACTATGATTACAAAAATATACAAAGGCAAAATTTATACTTTAAGTATTCAGAAAGATACACAAGATTACTTTAACAAAGTACTAAATTGCACTGTCTTAATATCCAAAGAGTAGAAATGTGATGTATGGTAGATTGTTCTGGTAATGTGATAAGCCTTAAAATACTTAAGGCGGCTGAATCTAAAAATAATTTGTAAAACTATATGAAATAATAGCTTTTCTCCTGTTTTCATCCTTACATATTTAATGGTGAATCCCAAGGAATCTTGAGCAGGGACAAAAGCCTTAAATATATTATGTGAATCAACATCTGCAACCTGCTGGTAACAAAAAGCTAAAACTTTCACCATGATGACATAAACTCATATGAACACAGCAGGCACAGTTTTATTAAGCAATTCATTCAAATTTCTTAATGCACCTTAAGACAGCCATGATCTATCTAAATAATAGACTAGATAATATTTGTAGGTTATTTTCATTTTATATCTTAGAAGATTTTATGGTTTTTGAAGTGAACTAAGCCAAAAGAAGTCACAGTTATGCCTGGAATATCTGGAATCAAACTATTCTAAACGAAGGGGGTTTTACAAAGACTAAGGTCAAAGTTGGCTTTATAAGTCATTTAAAAAGATCATAAACTCTGTATCATGATAGAACTCCATCTTATAGAATCCTCTATTAAAATATTTTTCCCCAATCATCAGTCAAATGCTTGAAACCACACTATGAAATGCGTATTCTCATTGATTAGAACAATGCTAAAGAAGAATATTGTTGTTTATAAATTTGTAGCTTGAAAGTTCGGTATTAATGCCTAAGCAAGAGTATAGTTATTAGACCAACTAGGCCATAATGAAATGACCACAAAAGCTTAGGAAGCCAGGCAATGATCTGGCATCGCTTTCAGAGGGAATATGATTGCAGAAGGTGTGATTACCCAGGGACACGTGACCACACAGGAGTGTCACAGAAGGAAAGTAAAAAATAAAATTATCTGGGAACTGCAATGTACCAAGTATAGTCTAAGGCTGCCTTACCACACTAATTCTCCAAAAATAAATGATTTTTTTTCAGAATGTTCCCATTGGATGTAAATCCAATGATAGGGAAACAGACAAACTTTATTTACCTTTAATTGCTTTGTTCTTTTCCAATAAGGGTTCTGTGAAATCTATCCAAAACATCTCTGCTTATTATCATTAATAGTCTTGCAGTGCTAAAATTATTAATGAATCTCCATCATCTTTGAAAATGGTTTCCAATTTCTGGACTGGGGACACCTGAGGGGCAGCAAAATCATAAAAAGCAGTTGACACACTCCACTTGTCCTCATGCACAACCGTCTAACAAATGATTTGCATAAGATGTTTTTAAACATGATCTTATGGATTTCAGTTCATGCCCTAATATTTAGTACAATAAAAATTTCCTTCAAAGTGTTGTTGAATTTAGAGTAAATTGTTGTTTCAAAAACAACAATGACAGAGTAAAATGTAAGTACTGTCATGCAGAGGATCTAGTAGCTTTAGGTTAAAACATTTTCAGTATTCGAAAAGTATAAAACCACTGCTCTTCAGCTTGAATACAGGCTAGAGTATAATAACAGGAAAGCATTATGTCTAGCAAGACACTGCAAAAGGTTAGATTTAGATATTTACAAACCTTGATTGCTACAAAATTCAGTTGGAGACTGACTCTCACTGTTACAGAGGAAATATTATTAAGATCATGGAGCTAAGATTTGCTGCTGGACTTAGAAATTGGAAAAATAAACCCTTAAAAATAAACCCATATTAAACCTTGAATTTTAACTGTTGAAGTTAACAGTTATCAAGAGAACTATAGAGTAAATGTAGGAGGAAAGAGAGACATCAAAAAAATTTAAAACAGAATCAATGTGCATAGTGATTTCAATAAATTGGCTAATCAAGTTTGTAGTTACTAATCACTAGAAATGTTATATGTGGGATATCAGTGGGATATAGGTTATTTAATTAACAAATAAAATAAAAGAACTACTTCACTGATCACAGTAACCAAACCAGCAAGAAAGACCTAGGATTTTTAAAACCACGTGCTAGTTATAACTAGAACATGACTTTCATTAACAAGGTTTAAAGTTTGTTCTATTCAATGGATAAACTTTTAAGATGTTTAGAGCAAGCTACAGCAATTGATCTGTGAAAGCCTATATGCACCTATACGATGCTTTTTAGTTTTTTTTCCTTTCAAAGGATTTTAGATGTCTCACATTGCCATCAGTCACCACCTCCTGTTATGTTTTTTTCACCAAAAATCACTCTTTTTTCCTATCCATCCCTTTTCACTCTCACTACCACCACTGTAATTCTGTGCTTCTATATTGTGTCAGTCTGGCAGAGTTTATTTACTTTCTATTTCTGCCCTACTCCTTTCATAGTCATCTTGCACATAAATGTTTTATTTATTCTGTTTGAGTAAAAGCTTTTTAAAGACAGAAGCCAGCACATAGCACATAAAAGACACTTGGAAGTTTTGACTGCATATGTAGGATGACAGATGTATGGATGGACAGATGGAAAGAATTTGAGATCCTCATCGAAGATATATTTCGACTACCAGAAAAGACTGTATTGTAACTATCAGCAGGGTCGCCAAAAGTGTGACATTCAGTCAAGAATTTTCAGCAATTGGTTTTGTGGGAAGCAGACAGAGATCGATTTCTGCTTAAGAAAATGGGAGGAAGCATATTTGGACAAAGGAAGAACAGCTATGCAGGTTCCACGAGTCATTGGCCAAATCAAGTAGGAGCCCGGTATTGTCTTTCAGAGTCTCTGCAATCAGGATAAAATGTCTGGGTCTCTAAGCCCCATCAGTCAGGGGACATGGGTTGCCAGGTGGGGTTTAACCAGGAGACACTCTGCAGCTGAGACAAATTCTGTAGGAGCTGACAAAAGAAGATAGTCAGCTAACAGAACTCCACATAGCTGGGCAGCAAGTCCTATTTTGAAGGAGTATTTGAGAGGTGCAGTTTCATGTCCTCCACATTAATCAACCCATTTTCTTTATTGTGGTAAAACAGACACAATAAATATACCCTCTAAACAATTTTTAAGTTGACAAGTACAGTATTTTTAACTATGGGCACGATGTTGTACAGCAGATATCTATCTAGAACTTTTTCATCTTGCATGGCTGAAAGTCTATTACCCATTGATAAAACTGCCCGTTTCCCCTTCCTCTACCCTGACAACCATAATTCAATTTTCTGTTTCTGTAAGTTTGTTTAATTTAGTTATCTTATATATGTGTTTGTGATTAACTTATTTCACTTAGCATGATGTCCTCAAGGTTGATCCATGTTGTTGTGCCAGGATTTCTTTCTCTCTCTCTCTCTCTCTTTTTATTTATTTATTTATTTTTTTGAGATGGAGTCTCGCTCTGTTGCCCAGGCTGGAATACAGTGGCGTGATCTTGGCTCACTGCAACCTCCACTTCCCAGATTCAAGCAATTCTCCCTGCCTCAGCCTCCTGAGTAGCTGGGAATACAGGCACTTGTCACTACACCCAGCCAACTTTTGTATTTTTTAGTAGAGATGGGGTTTCACCATGTTGGCCAGGCTGGTCTTGAACCCCTGACCTCAGGTGATCTACCCACCTCGGCTTCCCAAAGTGCTGGGATTTCCTTCTCTTTTAATACTGAATAATATTTGATTGTATATGTACCACATTTTGTTTATCTATTCCTCCATCCATGATCATTTGGGTTGCTTCCACATCTTGGCTATTGTGAATATTGCTGCAGTGAAGATGGATGTGCAAATATCTCTTCAAGATTCAATTTTTAATTCTTTTGGATAAATACCCAGAAGTAAGATTCCTGGATCATATAGTAGTAGTGCTCCTATTTTCAAACTTATGAGGAAACATAATACTGTTTTCCACAGTGGCTGCACAATTTTACAATCCCAACAACAATGTGTAACGATTTCAATTACTCCACATCCTCACCAAAACTTGTTATTTTCTGTTTTTTTTGATAGTGGCCATCCTAACAGGTATGACACGATATCTCATTGAGACAGTGGTTTGCATTTTCTTGATCACTAATGATGTTGCACACTTTTTCATGTGATTTTTGCCTATTTGTATAACTTCTTTGGAAAAGTGTCTGTTCCAGTCCTTTGCCCACTATTTTAATCTAAAACGAGATTTATTGCATTTTATGTAGTTTGAAGTCCATGCAGCAAAGGAAACTTGCACAATTTTTAATGCATTTTAAAATAAAGGGTGGTGGGCAGCAAATGCCCAAAGTTCTAGTCTTCTTGGGTCCCTGGGAAAGAAGGGTGTAGGAATGAACTCACCCACTCTCCGTGGGGAATGAATTTGTCTCTTAAATGCAAGGAATGTTTCCACGGCCTCGGGATACAAAAACACAGAGGTCAGGGGAAAGGATCGCTGCTGAAAATGAAGCTATATACATTCACGTAACTCAATCTGAGGGTAGAAAAGGTGGTAAATCTTGGGGGCAGCAGTTGTTCCAAGAGTCAGGAGATACAGGACACTCCTGGGAGATTTGCACCTAAAAAGAAGTGGCAGTGAGAACCAAAAAAAAAAAGGAAAAACAAACGGGGAAATATTTCTTAAACCACGCTCTTCAACAAAATGTCGTAAATATGTCATTTAATATTTTCATTTCATAGCATTGGACACACAGCTCGACATATTGAAATATTGATTCCTTGGAGGAAAATAAATGGAAAAAAGAAAACAAAAAGAATTATATTTTTCTGTTGAAGAATCTCAGGCCCCAGGCGTGAGGTCTAAGTGCCCCAGTGTCCTGGCCTGCAGGAGGTGCTGAAGTCAGCCGGGTCCTCTGGGGAGGGAGGCTATGCCCATAACCCATAACCATAAGGCTGTATGGCAAAAATTGTGTTGGGTGTCCTTGGCCTTGCCAGCTCAGACTCTCAGTCATGGGTCACCTGGGGGTTCTGCCTGTAGGAGAGCTGGTTGACTGACTGGTTGAACATGGGCTGGGTGAGGTCCTAGTCCACAGGAATGGTGACTTGCTGGATCTGGTAGAGCTTGTGTCCATCTGTGACCTGGTTGAACTGCCGCTGTCCTTACTGGACCTCTGTCTATGTAATCTGTTGGGCATTGGTGGCAAGCATCTATATCTGTTCCTGCACGACTTGAGTACCTGATACAGGCTGGACTAAGAGAATATATTCTAGCTGGCCCAACTTCAGCTGCACTGGGATCTGCTGGATCTCTCCTGTTTTAGTAATAATCTGTTGCATAACTTCCATAGTCTGTCCAGTGTCACTCTAGGACTGTTAGGCTTGACCCTGTGGTTGGGCCTGGACAATCTGCACCTGCCAACCTTCTCCAACCTGCACTGTCAGGGGCATGATTTGGCCCTGCTGAGGCTGCATGATGATCTACCCAAGCTGGATGGTGGTCATAGAGCTGGTGGTCTCCTGGCCTTGCTGCTGTCCCTAGACTTGGACCGTGGAGGGCTGCTAAGCCAGCATGAAGTAGTACTAGATGGGCTTGGCAGGAGTTATAGACTGGCACACCTCCTCCTGACGCTTTGGAGGGTTCAGTTCATCTGTCAAAACAATATCAATGAGAAAGTTTAACTGATCTAATTTTGTAATTCCCATGGTGACATCATTTCCCTATAGAGTCCAGTGCTTTTTAGCCTATGTGTGAATCTAGGCTCAAAGAGTCAACTCTGTGATAAAAATCTGGGCTGCCTTGGCAAAGAGCACAGGAGCTTCTCTACTGATCATCTTTACATCATTCAGTTTCATAATCTTCTTAATACCAGCCGTGGAAGTTCCTGCACTAGTAAATCTTTCACTGTTAAATTCTGGATTTCTTCCAGGATGTGAAGCCCAAAAGGACTGTAGGCTTTACTGGGCATTACTGCTGCTAGTGCCACAAAATCATTTTGGCAATGCCTCCATTTTGAAAAATGCCTCCATACAGGAGTCCAGGGAAGAGCAGGAACTCTCCCTGCACTCCTGCTAAGCAGGGCAATGCAGAGGGCCCAGGCAGGGTAGAGAGGGAAGAAGCATGCATTATAGAGAACAGAGGGTGTGAAGTGGGGGCTCAAACAAGATGGCAGCCATGGTATTTGCACATGGCCCTTTCTTTTTCCTTCTCCCTTCCTTGGCACCTGGACTCCCAGTATGGTGCAATGTGCAGAGAACCTTTGACCATTTTTTAGTCATGCTTTTTAATATTATTGAGTTGTAGGCATTCTTTATACATTCTTTATATTAACTTCTTATCTGGTAAGTGGTTTGTAAATATATTATCCCATTTTGTAGGCTGCCTGTTTAGTATGTTAATTATTTCCTGTGCTGGGCAGAAGTTTTTAAGTTTGATGTAGTCCCATTTGTCTATTTTTGATTTTGTTGCATGTGTTTTGGGTGTCATATCCAACAAATCATTGCCCATTCCAATTTCAGGAAGCCTTTCCTTAATGTTTTCTTCTAGGAGTTTTACCATTTCAGGTCTAACATTTATGTCATTAATCCTTTCTGAGTTGATTTTTGTATATGGTGTAACACAAAGGTGCCTCTTCATCCTTTTGTGTGTGGATATTAAGTTTTCCCAGAATCATTTGTTGAAGAGACTATCTTTATGCCATTGTGTAGTTTTGGCACTGTTGTCAAAAATCAACTGGCCAAGTTCATGAAGGTTTATTTCTGAACATTCTATTCTGTTTCAGTAGTCAATAAGTCTGTCTTTATATCAGTACCATATTGTTTTGATTACCGTAGATTTTGTAATATGCTTTGAAATTAGGAAGCGTGAGGCCTTCAGCTTTATTCTTTCTCAAGATCAGCTTGACTATTCAGGATCCTTTGAGATTCCATATAAATTTTAGACTTTATTTCTTCAAAAAAATCAATGAAATTTTAATAGGAATTGGATTTAATCTGTAAAATACTTCAGGTTATATGGATATTTTAACAATATTAATCCAACCCATGAACACAGGATGTCATTCCATTTATTTGTGTCTTCTCTAATATCTTTCTTCAGTGTTTTGTAGTTTTCACTGTACACATCTTTTACCACCTCCGTTAAGTTTATTCTAAAGTATTTTATTATTTTTGATGCTATGTAAATAGGAATATTTTCTCATTTTTTAAAAGATTTTTCATTTTTACTATATAGAAACCCAATTGAGGAAAATGGTGGTGTAGAAGTAAGTTGTCTTTACTACCTCCTCACCTCACAGAAAACCAAGAACAGACATGCAACACTGAGATTATCATCAGCAATATCATAGTAGTCAAATATGGGAATAAGACAATTCCCAGGGCCACAGAGATGTGAAAAACTCCAAGTAGACAGTAAAAGAATCAAACTTCCATACCTGCAATGCTCCTCCTGCCAATCTCACCAGCACCAAGTGTGCAAAAAATTTCCCCTGACTCACAGTTTCTACACAGGAAAAAGTCAAATTGAGGTACACAACTAGGTTCTCCATTATTTTGGGTTCCCGGATAAGAGACTTGCTCATGACTCAATCCACAGGAAGCATTAGGAGTGCCTAAAGAGATAAATATCTCCGAGGACAGCCAGAGATAAAGGGAGAAGGTACCATCCTCAGCACTGGAAACTCTGCTCTGTAATTCAGCCGTAGGAGATGCCAAATCAGAGTGACTGTTCAGTAGCACCACACTGTAGGATATTTATTACACAGGTCCTTGGGGAATAAACTCTTAGCCAGCTGTGTTAGGCCATTTTGCATTGCCATAAAGAAATACCTGAGACTGGATAATTTAGGGAAAAAAGAGGTTTAATTGGCTCATGGTTCTGCAGGCTTTATAGGAAGCATGGTGCTGGCATCTGTTCAGTTTCTGGAGAGGCCACAGGAAGCTGACAATGATAGCAGAAGGCAAAGAAGGACCAGGCACGTCACATGGTGAAAGCAGGAGCAAGAGAGAGAGTAGTGGGGGAGGTGCCACAATCTTTTAAATGACCAGCTCACACAAGTACTCACCATCATGAAAACAGTACCAAGCCATGAGGGATCTGCCCCCTTGATCCAAACACCTCCCACCAGGCTGCACCTCCAGCACTGGGGATTAAAATTCACCACGAGCTTGGAGTGGGGACAAATATTCAAACCATATCAACAGACTTCTCATACTACTGGGTTAACCCCTTTGGAACCTCTCCTGTTCAGAATAGGAAACACTGTGCTTATGTGCTACAACTGAGGCAAAACTGGGCTTAAAGCACTATCTAGTGGCAAAAAGGAGCCAGAAACCTGGTGGTAAAAAAGAGAAAGAAAATCAACAGGAAAATGGTGAAGAATCTCTAAGCAAACATATGCAGTTAAAAACGAAACAAACCAGACAGGGAAGACTGGAATAAATAACTAATCCTTCAATGCAAAGACATAGTTGTACATCCACAGGAAACAATGACATCAAGGAACCATGGTCTCCCCAACTGAAAAAAGCAAGAAACCACTGACTGACCCTAACAAGACTGTGATATGTGAACTCTCTGACCAAGAATTCAAAATAGCAGTTTTAAGAAAACTCAGTGATCTCCAAGATAACACAAAAGAGCAATCCAGAAATTTATCAGAGAAATTTAACAAAGAGGTAGAAATAGCAATAATAAAATTCAACAGAAATCTTGGAACACCACAGATATGTACACCTACTAGGTACTTACAAAAATTTAAAATAAAAAATGTTTAAAAAAGAAATCTTGGAACAGAGAAATATATTTGCTGAACTAAAAAATTTATTACAGGCTCTCAACAGCAGCATAAATCAAGCAGAGGAAAAAATTAGCTCAAAGGTTATTTATAAATACACAGAAAAGAAACATCAAAAAGAGTATTCCATGCCAATGGATTGGAAGAAATAATATTATTAAAATAACAATACAACCCAAAGACATTTAGAAATTCAATGCAAACCCTATCAAAATACCAACGACATTCTTGACACAAATAGAGAAAAACAATCCTATAACTCATATTGGAACCACAAAAGACCCTGAATAGCCAAAGCAATTATGAGCAAAAAGAGCAAAGCTGGAGGCATCACACTACCTGACTTCAAATATAATTCAAAGCTATAGCAATGATGTAAGTATGGTACTGGCATAAAAATAGACACATAGACCAATAGAACAGAATGAGGAACCCACATATAAAATCATATATTTACAACCAACTCTTTCTCAACAAAGGCACCAAGAACATATAACGGGGAAAGGACAATCTCTTCAATAAATGGTGCTGAGAAAATGGGATATCCATATGCAAAAGAAAAAAAATAGGTCCCCATTTCTTCACATGTACAAAAAGCAAACCAAAATTGATTAAAGGCTTAAATCTAAGATCTGAAATTATGAAACTATTAAAAGAGAACATTGCAGATGCTCCAGGATATTGGTCTGGGCAAAGACTTTTTAATATAAGACCTCAAAAGCATGTGCAACCAAAGCAAAAATACACAAATGAGACTGTATCAAGCTATAAAGCTTCTGTGAAGCAAAGGAAATAATGAAAAAAGTGAAGATACAACCCACAGAATGGGAGACAACATTTGCAAACTATCCATCTGACAAGGGATTATTAATCAGAATATATAAGGAGCTCAAACAACTCAATAGCAAAAAGAAACCTTAATAAACCAATTAAAAAATTGACAAAAAATATAAGCAATTCTCAAAAGAAGAAATACAAATGGTCAACAGTTATATAAAAAAATGCTTAACATCACTAATCATCAGAGAAATGCAAATCGAAACCACAATGAGATATCATCCCACTCCAGTTAAAATGGCTTTTATCCAAAATACGGGGAATAAAAGATGCTAGCAAGGATGTGGAGGAAGGGGAACACTCATAGACTGTTGGTGGGAATGTAGATTAGTACAGTCATTATGGAAAACTGTATAGAGGTTCCTCATAAAACTAAAATTAGAATTACAATATGTTCCAGAAATTCTACTACTGAGTATATATCCAAAAGAAAGAAAATCAACATATTGAAGATATACCTGTACTCTCATGTTTATTGCAGCAGCATTCACAATAGCCAAAACATAGAATCAACCTAAGTGTCCATCAATAGTTGAATAAAAAAGAAAATGTGGTATACGTACACAATGAAATACTATTCCTCCATAAAAAATAATGAAATCATGTCATTTGCAACAACCTGGATGGAATTGGAGACAATTATGTTAAGTGTAATAAGCCAAACACAGAAAGACAAATATCACATGTTCTCACTCATACGTGGGAGCTAAAGAAGTGGGTCTCATGAAGATGGAAAATAGGTTAGTGGTTGCCAAAGGCCAAGAAGGGTGCTGAGGAGGGGGGAGACAAAGAGAGGTTTATATATGGATACAGATAGAGAATTTGATGGAAGAAATAAACCTAGTGTTTTATAGATCAGTAGGGTGACTATAGTTTCCAATAATCCATTGTTTATTTCAAAGTAGCTTGAATATAATAATTCAAACGTTTCTAGCATAAATAAAAGACAAGTATTTATGGTGACGAATATTCCAATCACACTGATTTAATCTTCCAAATTACATGAATACATTAAGTTCTCACATTTTTCCTCCAAAAAGTTCCCAACTAATAAATTTGAGTGTTGAGGTTTTATCCTGAAACTTTACTGAATTTGTTTATTAGTTCTAACAAGTTTCCTTATATATTCGTGTGTGAAATCTTTACGGTTTTGTACATATAAGGTCATGTCATTTTCAAACAAAAATAACTGTACTTCCTTCTTTCAAATTTGGTTGACTTTTGTTTGTTTTCTAGCCTAATTTCTCCTGTTAGGACTTCCAGTACTATGTTGAGTAGAAATGATGAGAGTGATAATCATTGCCTAATCTTGCAGTAAAACTTTTGCTTTTTTCATTGTTGAGTGTGATGCTAGTTGTGGGCTTTTTATATATGATCATTATTATGTTGAGGTAGTTTCCTTCTATTCTCAATTTGTTGAGTACTTTTTTAAGAAAGGGTGGTGAATGTTGTCAAATTCTTTTTCTGCACTAATTGAGATGAACATCTAATTCTTGTCCTTCATTCTATTAACATGAAGTATTATAATTGTTGATTTTCATATGTTAAAACATTCTTGCATTCCAGGGATAAATCCCACTTGGTCATCATGTACAATCTTTTAAGTATGTTGTGGAGGTTAGTTTGCTAGTATTTCATTGAGGATTTTTGCTTTTGTGTTAATCAGAAATGTTGTCCTGTAGTTTATTTTTCCTGTATATCTGGCTTTGGTACTAGGGTAACTCTGGCCTCATAAAATGTGTTAAGAAGTGTTTCCTTTTCAATTTTTTGAAGAGTTTTAGAAGAATTGTCATTAAATATTTTTTAACTATTTGGTGGAATTCTCCACTATGGCCAACTATCCCTGGGCTTTTCCTAGTTGGGAGATTTTTGATTCCTGATTCAACCTCCTTAATAGTTACAGATCTATTCATATTTTCTATGCTTTATAGTTCATTCATGGTAATTTGTATGTTCCCAGACATTTGTTCATTTCTTATAATCATCCAATTTATTTGCATAATTGTTAATAGTATTTTATAATTGTTTTTATTTCTGTTGCATTAGTTCTGTTGTCTCTTCTTTCATTTCTGATTTTAATTATTTGAGTTTTCTCTCTTTTTTCTTAGTTACTCTAGCTAAAGTTTTGTCCACTTCTTTATCTTTACAAAAAAGCAACTCTTGGTTTTATTGTTTTTTTCCTATTAATTTTCTATTCTTGTATTTTATTTATTTTTGTTCTAATACTTATTACTTTCTTCCTTCTGCTATCTTTGAGTTTATGTCATTTTTCTTTTTCTAGTTCTTCGATTTGTAAAGGTATATTGTTGATTTGAGACCTTTCTTTTTTTTATAATGTAGGCATTTATCACTATAAACCTTCCTCTGAGTACTTCTTTTGCTGTATCCCATAAGTTTTGGTATGTTGTGTTTTTTTTTCATTTGGGTCGAGATATTTCTAATTCTCTTTGTGATTTCTTCCTTGACCCACTGGTTTTTCAAGTGTATGTTGTTTAATTTCCACATACTTGTGAATTTTTCAGTTTTTCTACATGTATTGAGTTCTAGTTATATTCAATTGTGGTCAGAAAAGATATTCAGTATAATTTTAAACTTCTTAAATGTATTAAGATTTCTTCTTTGGCCTAAAGTGTGATTTATTCTAGACAATCTTCCATGTGTGCCTGGAACGAAATGGATGGATTGTTCTGTATATGTCTCCTAGCTTCAATTGTGTTCTATACTGTTGTTCAAGTCCTCTCTTTCCTTATTTATCTTCTGTCTGGTTGTTCTATTCATTGTTGAAAATGAGGTTTTTGAAATCTCCTAATATTATTGTGTTACTGCCAATTTCTGCCTTCAATTCTGTCAATTTTTGCTTCATATATCTGGGAGCTTTGATGTAAAGTGAATATATTTTACAAATGTTATGTCTTCCTGGTGAATTGACCATTAACCATTATATAATGCCCTTCTTCGTCACTTTTGATTTAAAGTCTGTTTTATCTGATGTAAGTAAGGCCACTCCAGTTCTCATTTAGTTACAATTTGCATGGATAATCTTTTTCCATAATCTCGCTTTCAGCCTATTTGTGTCTTTACATCTAAGGTAAGTCTTTGTAAGGATATAGTTGCATCTTTTAAAAGATACATTCAACCTTTCTATGTCTTTTGATTACAGGGTTTAATTGATTTATATTTAAAAAGTACTGATAGGGAAGTCTTACTATTAATATTTTTGTAATTGTTGACTATTTGTCTTGTAGCTAACATGTCCTTCTTGTTCTGTTGCTGCCTTTCTTTGTGTGTGTGTGTGTTTGTTTGTTTGTTTTTCTGTATTGACATGCCTGGATTCTTTTCTCATTTCTTTTGTGTATCTTCTACAGGTATAGTTTTTGTGGTGACCATTGTGCTTACCTAAACTATCTTACTGTTATAACAATATATTTTAAGCTGATAAAAACCTAACATCAACTGCATGCAAAAATTTTATTATTTTATGTCTCCCCAGCCCCACTTTATGTTATTGATTTTACAAATTATATCTTTACATGTTGTGTATCAGTTAATGTAGTTTGATAATTATAACAATTTTTATGCTTTTAATTCTATACCAGAATTAAGAGAGCTTTAAGCACCTCTATTACAGCGTTACAGTATTCTTTATTTGTCTACACATTTACCGTTGTAAACCAAAAATAAAATTCTAAGGTCCCCAAACCATCTGAATGGATACCTCCTCTTGGCCAAGGGCATTCCAAAGTAAAACTGAAAAGAACTAGTTCAGGCCATGATAGGAAGGAGGAGCTTGACATGCCTCATTTTACCCACTTCCCTTTTGGAGTTACTGATAGAACGACTCTTTATGTCTGATAAGAAGTATTTACTAATTTACTGTCTATTCTCTTTGAAGCCTGCTACCTAGTATTCTCCACAATGCCTTATTGTAACCCAGACATTCCTTTCTATTGATAATAACTCTTTCAACCAATTGGCAATCAGAAAATCTTTGACTCTGCCTATGACTTGGAAGCCCCCAATTCCAGTTGTCCTGCCTTTCTGGACCAAACCAATGTACATAATACATGTATTGATTGATGCCTTAAATCTCCTTAAAATGTATCAAACCAAATTCTAGCCCAATCATCTTGGGCACATGTTCTCAGGATCTCCTGAGGGCAGTATCACAGGTTATTAGTCACTCATATTTGACTCAGAATAAATATCTTCAAATATTTTACAGAGTTTGACTCTTTCTGTCGACACGCTTATAAATGAATTTTATGTCTTCAGATACTTTCATGTTGCTGTCTAGGGTTCTTATAGGATTCTCTCTAGCATTTTTCATGAGGCAGTTCCAGAAAGGAAGGACCTCTTCAGTTTTTATCAGGATAGCATCATTTTAACTGTTAAAGAATAATTTTGTCAGACATTGTATTCTTGGTTGATTGTTTTGGGTTTCTTTTTTTCCTCTCTCAGTGTAACTGAAACTCCCTTCACAAAATTATAACACAGGAAATTATGAAAGCAATCAGACCTAACCAACTCCATCTTGCTTCTAATCTTTAAGCTGTCCTTGTTCATTCCCGGGCATAGGCTGAACTAACCTTGGGAGGGAATTTTACTGAGCCCCTACCCGCCAAATTATCTTTAAAAACTCCAATCCCCGAATACTCCGGGAGACTGATTTGAGTAATAATCAGGCATCCAAACTAGGCTGCCTCTCTGTCAGCACCGTAGGTAAAGCAAAGCAGAAATCAGTACCTCAGGAATCCTCCAAAGAGCTGGAACACCAGACGCATGCTCTGCTCTTCTCCCTTCTTCCTGTGGGAGAAGCTGTAAACTGGATGCTCTCTCCCCATTGTTCTGAGCTTTTCTCGCCTCTGTCTGTAGCACTGCACAGCCTCTGGTACCACAGCAAGCCATCTTCACTCTCCTTTGCTTTCAGCGACTCCCATGCATTTGAACTACATTGGTTCTGTGAGCACCCTTAGGTGACATAAAATAGTTCCTAGAACAGCCCTCTGAAAAACCTGAATGCTGGTGCACATTCCAGTCTTCTCACCCCTTCTCCCCAAGAAAGAAGCCACGAGCTGTATTTATATATCCTCTCAATCATGTCAAATTGTGTTGGCTTGGGGGTGGGGTGGATATTGGTAAAGTGAACCAGCTCTTCTTACCTGTTTAAATGCAGCTGTTTTTAGTTGTGTGCTCACCTGGGTTACTAAAACCTCTTAACTGGCTTCTGGAGTTATCAGGAAAGCATTTTGATTCTTATGTTGTTGTAAAGTCAGTGTTTCTGTGGAAGAATGAAGTCCGGGACTTCCTATTCTAGTGTATTGCTGATGTCACTCCCCTAATTAATCCACTTTTATCTTTATTTCCAAATCAGAGAAACTTAACAGGTGAAATGATCATCTACTAAAGCGAGGTATACAATCTGCTAACCCAAAATCGGTGTGTGTTATAACAAAGCACTTACATGTTGGTCAGTGCACCATTTAGACATTCCAGCTTAAGTGAGGAGAGCTTAAGTGGCTATTCAAGGTCTTCATATCCCCCGCTAAATTTGTGAAACTCTTTGAAAGCACAGCCTTTTGAAGCATTAGTTTGAATTCTATCGACTATAAATGTAAAATACCTTTCTTAGTACATTTTCCTCATGCCGAACTCTAATTCTGTTGGTCAATACCTATGGTATATGTCACATGTCACTCATGTTTCCCAATATGTATTTTTTGAATACATAATAACCAAGGTGATCCACATGGCATTTAAAGTTATAGTTTTATCAAGTGGGAACGAAATTAATGCAAGTGGAAGATAACTTTTATTTTGAAAGTCAGGGCATGGACATGTCCTCCTAGGTTCATTAAAATGACATTCATCTTTAAGTAAAACCGAAGCACTGAAATGATGAATTTTAAGTGCTCTGCTGAAATTCTGAAACATTTTATTAAATCATTTTTAATATTCATTTCTGTTCAGTTTGAATGCTAAAAATTTTCAGGCTATAATGAAGGTTATAAAGGTCAAATAAAACAAAAGAGTGAAATAATATAAAATTAAAAGAATTAATATAACTTAATATATTTCATAAAAGTAATTAAATGAACAATGGAAAATACATTTAATTTTATATCGAATAGGAATTTATAAACAGAATAAAATATTCCTATGTTGTATCATATTCTACCTTATTTTTGGCTTGGGAGAAGTAATATTGGCTTGGGAGAAGTAATACAATTTTGATTTCCAAAAACATACACTTACAAAGGTAAGGTACAAAGGATGACTCATGAAAAGGTACAGTGCACTCCAAAATAACTACTTGAATATTCTAAT
Source organism: Homo sapiens (assembly GCF_000001405.40). NCBI lineage: Eukaryota > Metazoa > Chordata > Mammalia > Primates > Hominidae > Homo > Homo sapiens. The sequence continues at coordinate 35,751,530 of NC_000023.11, read as the reverse complement.
ATTCAGATAAATCTGAAGAACATATATGGCAATGGATATTGAAAGTACAAAATAATAGTGGAAGAAACATAAAGTTGAATCGGGCCTAATTTATTGATATGAACTTACTAATCAGATATTCTACATTTAATGTTGAAGCTCAGGGAGTTAGAGTTTGGTTGTTTGGCTGAAACATGGACCAAGAAATAGCCCACAGTGAGCAAGTTGGAAATGCCAAACCTGCTTTCGTTTTATGTAGAGGAAGGGATTCAAAGGTTTAGGGAGCATGAAATGTTCTACTCACTCACAATGAGAGGATACAGAAGACACAGCTTTCATTAACGCTGTGAGAAATAAATTCTTGAGAGGAGTCCTGGCATTACTGAAGAGTTGTGTGATCATTTTTCTCTGTAGGCCAGACATTACAGTGAGAACTGCAGTCACCAAACTGGGAAACCCTCATGCAATAGGAATAATTGGATCCCAGAGTGGCAGAGATCAAGTGGTGGCATTCAAAACAGCAATCAGAATAGTCTCATTCACATGGACTATGGCATTGGCTAGATAATTATTGTGTTCCTAGAAGTAAAATGGGTATAAAGCCTACTAAATCCTAACTTGATCTTATAAGAAGAAAATGTCTAGCTTAAGTGAATAAAAGTCTAACATGAGTAATAAAAACAGAGTCATGGCCCTTCAATCAATTCCCAGACGTGAGCCGGCTTACAGACCAAGAACCACCTAGATGAAGGGGAGGCCAGGTATCCTTATGCAAGGACCTCAATACATTGCTAAAAATTTATAATGTTAATCTATTTCATAGCCTTCCCCAAAAGGACCTAAGCCCTTTTATCAGGGTAACTGTGCATTGGGGAAAATAAAATAAATAGACCTCTCAGGGTTTACTGGACACTGGCTCCGAGCTGACACTAATTCCAGGAAGCTCAAAATTTCACTGTGGTCCACCAGTCAAAGTAAGAACTTATGGAAGTCATGTAATCAATAAAGTTTTAGCTCACATTAATCTCGCAGTGGGTGCAGTGGGTCCCTAAACCAATTCTGTAGTTATTTCCCCAATTTGGAAAAGCATAATTGAAATAGATATACTCAGTAGCTGGCAAAATGCCTACGTTGGTTCCCTGACATGTGGAATAAGGTTCATTATGATGAGAAAAGCCAAGTGGAAGCCACTAGAACTCCCTAAACCTTGGAAAATAGTCAAGTAAAAGGAATACTACTTTCTTAGAGGGATTGCAGAGATTAGTGCCTTCATAAAAAAACCTGAAAGAGGCTAGGGTGGTGATTCCCACCACATCCCCATTTAACTTCCTTTTTGGCCTGTGCAAGAAACAGAACAATCTTGAAGAGTGACAGCAGATAATCATTAGCTTAATCAGGTGATGACTCCAATTGCAGCTCATGTACCAGATATGGTTTTGTTGTTTTAGCGAATTAACACATCTGGTGGTATATGGTATATAGCTATTGATCTGTCAAATTCCTTTTTCTCCATATTTGTCAATAAGGACCACCAGAAGCAATTTGCTTTCAGCTAAGGCCATCAAATCACCTCCACTGTTCAGCCCCATGTTAAAATTTAGTTCATAGGGATATCGATTCTCTTTCTTTTCCACACGATATCTATCACACTGATCCATCACATTGGTTACATTATGCTGATTAGACCTAGTGAACAAAAAGTAGGAACTATTTTAGACTTACTGGTAAGACATTTGCATGTCAGAGCTGTGACACTGGTCTTTTCCAGACTTCAGAATAAATCTGAAACATCAGCTCTTCTTGGGTCTCAAGCCTCCCAGCTTTCAAACTGTAACATATACGATCAGGTCTCCTGATTCTAAGGCCTTCAGACTCAGGCTGGAACTACACATCGGCTCTCCTAGGTTTTCAGTCTGCTTACTGAAGATTATGGGACCTCTCAGTCATCATATTGGTTCTGTTTCTCTGGTGAACTTTAACATTTCACCTTTTTCATGTCAAATTCCCCAAATTGTAGAAAACAATAGCTATAGAGAACCAATGCCTACAGACTTTAAACCATATTTTAATTAGAAAATTATCTACGATAGACCTCTGGAGTACTAATAATGTTCTCTTTCCTGACAAGAATTTTGAATACAAGAGTGTTTATTTTATAATTATTTGTTAAAATATGCAAATAACTTTAAGTCTTTTTTTTCCCATGTCATTTCAAGGGGAAAACCTTAAAGACAAGCAAAACCAAAATTCAGTAAACTAATTATAAACCAAGATAAACCAAGATACCCTCAACTTATATTCTTCTGATAATAGAAAAATAAAATTGGTATGGCTTCCACTGAGTACAAATTTAGAAGTTTTTGGAAATTTCTTTACAAATGCAAAATTAATGTTGGGATTTCAGAATTTGAAAATTTTAGCAAAAATAAATCTCTACTCTCTCCCTCAAAATTATCACTAAAGAAATAGACAACAGAGTGCTACTTTCAGTGGTCAGTGGAGAAAAACACAGTATGCCCTACCATGAAGTATCTGAAAAAATTATTTGTAATAATATTAGTTAAAAAATACCAGGTAACATGTCTGGAGGAGTTTGAAATGCAGAATGGTGAAATGTAAAAGCCAGGTGATGTTTGGAAACAAATCTAAATATTCATCATACTCTTAGCTTGCTCTAAAACTGTAGTCTCCAAAATATGAAAATGTCCTAAAGAATTGCTCTATGTAATCCTGAAGGGTGTTTTAAGTACCTAAAAAGTTGCTTCTCACTATGTACTAGTAGTCCTTAGATGTACTTAACTCATTTCCCATAGTTTTAAAAATATATATTTAATTAATACATCTTAAAAATGCACATAAAGAGCAAATATTAATTTACCTGCATTACAATTATTAAACTGTTGCCAAACTGAGGGCATTCCAAGTGGCTTGATCTGGGTCTGACTCATTCTTTGCTGGTCTCTTCTACATGATGCAGGTTCCTACCTTTTTTAAAACCAATAAGGTATCTAAAAACAGACACATATACCAATGGAATAAAATAGAGAACCCTTAAATTCATTTATTTAGAGCCAACTAATTTTCCACAAAGGTGCCCAAAACACACATTGGAGAAATGATAGTTTCTCCAATACATAGGGCTGAAAAACTGAATATCTATATGCAGAAGACATAAATTAGACCCCAATATCTCACTGTATAAAAAAATAAACACAAAATGGGTTAAATACTTAAAAGTAAGACCTAAAACTGTGAAACTACTAGAAGAAAATATTGTGGAAATGCTTCAGGACATAGGTGTGAGCAAAAAGTTTATGGAGAACACAAAAGCAAAGGCAAGCAAAGCAAAAATTGGCAAATGGGATTATATCTAGCTAAAAAACCTCTGCACAGCAATGTAAACAATCAAGAAAGTGAAGAGAAAACTTGCAAAATAGGATAAAATATTTGTGAACTATTCATTTAACAAAGGGCTAATATCTAGAATATAAAAGGAATTAAAACAACAGCAAAAAAACACCAAAAATAAATAATCCAATTTAAAAATGGGCAAATGATCTGAATAGACATTTCTCAAAAGGAGGCATAAAAACAGCCAATAAGTATAGAAAACAATGCTCAACATCACTAATCATCAGGGAATTGCAAAGCAAAACCACAATGATGTATCACCTCACCCCAGTTAGAATGTCTATTACCAAAACAAAACAAAACAAAATGCTGGCAAGGACATGGAGAAAATGAAACTTCTATACATTGTTTATGAGAATGTAAATTAGTACAGTCACTATAGAAAACAGTATAAAGATTCCTCAAAAAACTAAAAATATAACTACCATATGATCCCACAATTCCACTACTTGGTATAAATCTAAAGAATAAATAAATAAAAGAAAAGCAGTATGTTGAAGAGATATCTGCATTCCCACCTTTATTGTATCACTATTCATAATAACCAAGATTGGGACTTAACCTAAGTGCCAATCAATACATGAATGGAAACGAAAATGAGTTATACGTTCATGATAAGACACTATTGAGCGAACCATAACAAAGAAGAAAATCCTGTCATTCAAAGCAACATGGATTAGCTGGAGGACATTGTTAAGTGAAATAAGCCAGGCACAGAAAGATAAATGCCACATGTTCTCGCCCATATGTGAAAGCTAAAAAAAAGTCACAGAAGTAGAGAGTAGCATAGTGGTTACTAGAGGCTGGGAAATTGTTTGGGGGTCAGGTACGAGAAGTTGGTTAACAGATACAAAATTATAGCCAGTTAGGAGGAATAAGATCTAGTGTTCTATATCACTATAGGGTGACTGCAGTTAACCAGTTAACAATAATTGTGTATTTTCTTTTTTTAAAATTTGCTTTATCTTTTTTTTTTTTTAAGTTCAGGGGTACATGTGCAGGATGTACAGGTTTGTAACATAGGTAATCATGTGCCATGATGGTTTGCTGCACAGATGATCCCATCACTAAGGTATTAAGCCCAGCACCCATTAGCTATTCTTCCTGATGCTCTCCCTCCTTCCACTCCTCACCTCTGAGAGGCCCCAATATCTGTTGTTCTCTCCAATGTGTCCATGTATTCTCATCATTCAGCTCCCACTTATAAGAGAGAACATGCGGTATTTGGTTGTCTGTTCTTTTGTTAATTTTCTGAGAATAATGGCTTCCAGCTCCATCCGTGTCCCTGCAAAGGACATGATATCATTCCTTGTTATGGCTGCATAGTATTCCATTGTGTATACGTACTGCATTTTCTTTATCCAGTCTATCATTGATGGGCAGTTAGATTGATTCCATGTCTTTGCTATTGTGAATAGTGCTGCAATGAACATACGCGTGCATGTATCTTTACAACAGAATTATTTATATTCCTTTGGGTATATACCCAGTAATGAAATTGCTGGATGAAATGGTATTTCTGCTTCTAGGCTGCTGAGGAATTGCCACACTGTTTTCCACAATGGTTGAACTAATTTACACTCCCACCAATAGTGTAAACGCGTTCTTTTTCTCCACAACCTCACCAGTATCTGTTTTTTTGACTTCTTAATCATAGCCACTCTGACTGGTGTGAGATGATATCTCATTGTGGTTTTATTTATTTATTTATTTATTTATTTATTTTGAGACAAAGTTTTACTCTTGTTGCCCAGACTGGAGTGCAATGGCTCAATCTTGGCTCACTGCAACCTCCGCCTCCCAGGTTCAAGTGATTCTCCTGCCTCAGCCTCCCGAGTAGCTGGGATTACAGGTGCCTGCCACCACACCCGGCTAATTTTTGTATTTTTAGTAGAGACAGGGTTTCACCACATTAGCCAGGCTGGTCTTGAACTCCTGACCTCAAGTGATCCGCCTGCCTTGGCCTCCCAAAGTGCTGGGATTACAGGCATGAGCCACCGTGCCTGGCCGATACTGTATTTTTGATCCGCATTTGGTTGAAAAAAATCCACATATAAGTGGACCCATGCAATTCAAACCTATGTTGTTCA